>NC_000002.12:28742873-28895623 GCF_000001405.40 Homo sapiens
TCGAGTTTCAGCCTGACCAACATGGTGAAACCCCATCTCTACTAAAAATACAAAGAAACATTAGCCTGGCGTGGTGGCACGTGCCTGTAATCTCAGCTACTCAGGAGGCTGAGGCAGGAGAATCGCTTGAACCCAGGAGGCGGAGGTTGCAGTGAGCAGAGATCGCACCACTGCACTCCGGCCTGGGTGACAGAGGGAGACTCTGTCTCAAAAAAATAAAAATAAATAAAAATAAATAAATAAATAAATAAAATAATAGAGAGCCCAGAAATAAGGCCACGCATCTACAACCATCTGATCTTTGACAAAGCTGACAAAAAAACAAGCAATGGGGAAAAGACCTCCTACTCAATAAATGGTGCTGGGATAACTGGCTAGCCATATGCAGAAGACTGAAGCTGGACCTCTTCCTTACATCATATGCAAAAATCAACTCAAGATAGATTCAAGACTTATATGCAAAACCCCAAACTATAAAAACCCTGGAAGAGAATCTAGGCAATATTATCCTGGACATAGGAATGGGCGAATATTTCATGACAAAGACACCAAAAGCAATCGCGACAAAAGCAAAAGTCGACAAATGAGAGCTAATTAAACTTAAGAGCTTCTGCACAGCAAAAGAAACTATCAACAGAGTAAACAGACAACCTGCAGAATGGGAGAAAATATTTGCAAACTATGCATCTGATAAAGGTCTAATATCCAGCATCTATAAGGATCTTAAATTTATAAGAGAAAAACAACCCCATTAAAAAGTGTGCAAAGGACATGAACATCTAGACACTTCTCAAAAGAAGACATACATGTGGCCAAGAAGCATAAGAGAAAAAGCTCAATATCACTGATCATTGGGGAAATGCAAATCAAAACCACAATGAGATACCACCTCATACCCGTCAGAACGGCTATTACCAAAAAGTCAAAAAATAACAGATGCTGGTACGGTTGCGCAGAAAAGGGAACCCTTACACACTGTTGGTGGGAGTGTAAATTTATTCAACCATTGTGGAAAGCAGTATGGTGATTCCTCAAAGAGTTAAAAGCAGACTCCAGCAATCCCATTACTGAGTGTATACCCAGAGGAATATAAAGCATTCTACCATAAAGACACTTGCATGTGAATGTTTATTGCAGCACTGTTCACAATAGCAAAGACATGGAATCAACCTAAATGCCCATCAATGACAGACTGGATAAAGAAAATGTGGTACATATACCCCATGGAATATTATGCAGCCATAAAAGAAGAAGATCAAGCCAGGTGTGGTGGTTCACGCCTGTAATCCCAACACTTTGGGAGGCCAAGGCAAGTGGATCATCTTAAATCAGGAGTTCGAGACCAGCCTGGCCAACATGGCAAAACCTTGTCTCTACTAAAAACACAAAAATTAGCCGGGCGTGGTGGCGGATGCCTGTAATCCCAGCTACTCAGGAGGCTGAGGCAGGAGAATCACTTGAACCCAGGAGGTGGGGATCGCAGCGGGCCGAGATCATGGCACTACACTCCAGCCTAAGCAACAGAAGGAGACTCTGTCTCAAAAACAAACTAACAACTACAACAAAAAAAACAAGATCATGTCTTTTGAGGGAACATGGATGCATGGATGGAGCTGGAGGCTACCATCCTTAGCAAACTAATTCAGAAACAGAAAACCAAATATCACATGTTCTTACTTATAAGTGGGAGCTAAATGATAAGAACTTACGAATACAAAAAAGAAAACAAGCACTAAGGTCTACTTGAGGCGGGAGGGTGGGAGGAGGGAGAGAAGCAGAAAAGAGAATTAGTGGGTACTGAACTTAATACCTGGGTGATGTAATATATGTACAACAAACCCTGATGACATGTGTTTATCTATGTAACAAACCCTCACATGTACCACCAAACCGAAAATAAAAATTTTTAAAAAAGGAATGTGGACAAAAGAGAGTTGCTTATTGTGAATGTCTGTCTGGCCAAGAAGCCCCTCAGATGTGCAGGGAAGGCATTCCCTACCTTTCTCCTGGAGGTAGCTGGGGATGACCTCTCCTTCTCATTCCTGAAGACTGTCTCGCTGCCAGAACCACCCATATTCTGCTCCTCCTCACCCAAAATTTTCCTGCTGTAAGTTGACAATCCTTGCCATCAAGTTACATCCGCTGCCCCACCCCATCGCCACTCACTTTTTCTCACAACAGAGTCCCAGAGCTAGTCCACCTAACTAGCCCAGCATCTCTAAATCACACTGCCTGGGTATTCCAGCCAGGGCTTTAGAATTGGACTGACCTGGTGCCTAAAGACAAGTCAAAGCCTCTGAGTCTTGATTCATTCCCACATCTATAAAAGGGAAACTACTTACTTCACAGGATTTTCTGAGGGATTAATTGTGATCATGTCAGTAAAAATTCCCAGCACATGGTACACTTATGAACCTCCAGCCAGGAACCTTTCTGACAAAGGAGCAATGCCTGTCACCTGGGCATGGGGACATTGGATCTCCCAGCCAAGCTGGGCTCTGTCTTAATAGGAATGTCACTACTAGAAGTACCTAAATGTTCTTAGAGCTTGGGATCACTCAATCACATTCTCTGGGTGGTTTGTTAAAACCTGGACTGGACTATGAGGAGCGAGAGCAACCTTTTTTTAGCAACAATAAAGTCATTCTTTGAGGTGACTGCACCGTTAAAACACACAGGGGCAAAACAGAAAAATGCTGTGCTCATTGCTGAGCAGGTTGCCCTGAAAAGTAGAGAATGAAAAATAGGAATAACGGTGGGCATGGGGACCCTGGGTTCTAGGGTGCTCTTGTGCAGGAAGGAGAGGGGACAAAAAGAGTAGGCTCTTGCACAGTATGAAGGCTTTCGAGTAAAAATCTGAAGGAGATGGAGAGATTGAGATTCAAGTCCTCGTTTTGCTAGTAAATCAATGCAATTTAACTTTGTTTTTGTTTTCTAGAGACAGGTATTGCTCTGTCACCCAGGCTGGAGTACAGTGGCATGATCATAGCTCAACACATCCTCAACCTCCTATGCTCAAGGGATCCTCCTGCCTCAGTCTCCAGAGTAGCTAGGACTACAGGTGCATACCACAGGGACTGGCCAAGTTTGAATTTTTTTAGTAGAGATGAAGCCTTGCTATGTTGCCCAGACTGGTCTTGAACTCCTGGGATCACGCAAGCCTTCTGCCTCGGCTTCCCAAAGTGCTGGGATTACACGCATGAGTCACCAAGCCCAGCCATAATTTAACCTTTCTAGATCACAACTTCCTCAATCGCAAAGTGAGATTAAAAGTAATTGTATCTTTTTTAAAAAAAGTTCCCAGCACAATATATTTACTCCCTTTCTTCCTTCTGCCTTCACATTCCCTATCCTTTGGTTTGGGAGCCAGCTCCTTCCTGGCAACCAAACCCCAAGATGTCATGAACTGTGCTCAGCCCACCATGCCCTGCCCCCACTCCCCCCCGCCCCCCAAGGATTCAAAGGTATCAGAGCATCCCTTGCCCTCTATGCTGCCAGCCCAGCCTTTGTCTCCCATATAGGGTCCAGGTCTGTCTGTAAATTGGAACTAGACTTGTCTTCACGTCTATTGCTCAGGGTAGTAGAAAACACTGAGAGATGTTTTCTGCCATGCCAAATAGGAATCCTCAATAAATATTCCCCATAAACTCTGTTATAATTGGTGGCTAGAGTCTATATTGCCATGGACACTCTTCTATAGTTACATTAAGGACTAAATTGATTTTGCAGACTGATCTGAGAGTTTAACCACCATTTGTACCACAGTCTCTGTGGGAAAATATATTCCATGTTCCGAACAATTGACCCTTTGGAGTTGGTCCAGTTCCTGAGCTGGGGACGGCATGTACAATATTATGTTACATTTTGGGTTTTATTTGTATGTCTTAGAATCAGAGACTTGTTTGAGCTAGAAGAAGCTTTGGAAATCATTTATTAATGGGCACATTTTGTAGGTAATGAATCCAAGGTTCAGAAAGATTGAATTGTCTAAGGTTATTCAGCTGCTTTGTTCTCCCACCTCCAAGCCAATGCTTTTCCCACTATCCAAGTCATTTTGTGGTCATTTTCCCACATAGTCATTAAACAACTTGAAAGTTGGGAAGTCATGCCTTCTTCAACACAGACTCAAACTCACTAAGTGTTTCATAAATACTTAATTGGTTCATTATTCTTTTTGCTTCAGAGGTCTATTCACTGTAAGGTTTTCTTAAATAACAAGTACCATAGAGCATTTCAATTAAGAACTTATTATGATAGACTGGATTTGGTTTAAATCAAGATTTAAATAATAATTAATAAATATTCTATTTAACCAGTGTTTCCTATATAAAAGACCTATTGGTGTTGGATGTAACTCTGATGAATATATTTCACAGCTCACAAATAGTTTGGCTTTAGTTTTAACAGACATATGCTATTAATTTTAATGTGGTCTTATATATTATGAGAAGCTACTCATTTTATAACTACATAAAAAAAGTAATGCTTTCCTTGTCTTATCTACCAAAACCCAATTGAAACAGAGACATAAAAACCAGTTAGGGCCAGGTGCGGTGGCTCATGCCTGTAATCCCAGCACTTTGGGAGGCCGAGGTGGGAGGATTGCTTGAGCCCAGGAGTTCGAGACCAGCCTGACACAGCGAGACCCTGTCTCTACTAAAAATAAAAAAAAATAGCCGGGCATGGTGGCACATGCCTATGGTCTCAGCTACTACGGAGGCTGAGGCAGAAGGATTGCTTGAGCCTGAGATGTCAAAGCTGCAGTTAGCTGTGAATGAGCCACTGTATTCCAGCCTGAGTGAGGCTCTGTCTCAAAAAAAGAAAAAAAATTAAGCCATTTAGCGGTAAACCTCCAACTGAAAAGGTGAATTATATGTGATTTGGATATACTACAGGAGAAACAGAGCAACAAGAAACAAAACATTTACAGTACACTGTTTCATTTGAAACAAATATTCACATATTGTATACTTTCCCTCATCAAACAGTTATTTCCTGGTATCCATTTCAGTGAGCAGGATGGGGGGAGGGGGGAGCAATAAAAGAGAAACATTCTTACCTGTGTAGATGACTTGCTTTTATTGTAACAAAGGCAACTGGCCCTGTAATCTAATTACAAGAAAAAAAGGCCACAGATAAACTCTTCAACAATTAAATAGTCATTACTTGTGGTAGCTGTTCACCTAGCTTTAATTGCCTTATAGTTAACAGTTCTAAATAGCCAGTTAACTCCTTCAATTACTAGACATTTATTTTTCAATCACTTTATCTTGAAAGATACGGATGTACTATGGAGTTAGCTTAAGACAAACTGAGAGAGAGAGAAGAGAGAGTTGGTTGGGGCCACCGGGGAGGTTACTGACCAAGGGCAGGGAAGGAGGCATTTATTTATATTTGCCTTATAATTCTGGGGGACTAAACTGGCTGAGGACATGCCTTATGGCTTAGCTATAATTTTGGCTATTCTCATATGTATAATGAAATGAAACCAAAACTAAATCTTAAGAACAAATCTTGGCCCTGCCTGGCTGTACCACCTAGGCCTGGCTCTGTATTGAGAGAGGTGGCCTCCTAATGATGCATATATGTCCTTGTCTGGTTTTCCAATTTTCTTGAATTGAGCTGACTATAAAAGCTTAATGCATGCGATATAAAGAATGGCTGACCTCCAGATACAACTAGTAAAATTTCAACTTACCACTACTTAAGACTTATTAAACACTTGATTGAGAAGAATCATATTTATGGAAGGACAGCCCAATGAATGTTGATTCATTCATTTAAAAGTCATCTTGGATTAAGCCAGAGCAGCAAAAAACTATATATCACCCCCTCCACATTTTGCTACCTAAACTTACTCACTTTCACACCAGATTGGCTACTGGCTAATACTGACAGGCATATAAGAAAAACATCCCTATGAAAGTCTTTGCTGCGTTTACTAACCGGAGTCACCAGGCTGCTGTTTACTGTGTTCCGAAATGCCTTCTCTAAGGACTATCCATAGAGACAGCTCTCTGGTCTCAATTCAGAGATGGTTGGGTTCCTCTGAGCACTGGTTTGCCTTTATCTGATAGGCACAGACATTATCTATTAGTAAAAATAAAATAATAATTTTATTAAGACCCCTAAATCATGATGCCCAAACCCCTTGCAATCAGGAAGTCTAGATAAATAACAGGAGTTTCCCTTCATAGAGATTTCTGGAATTACCCAAGGATATTAACATGCATGACCCAGATGCCTCCCTAAGCCTTATGGTGTGCTGGCAAATGTTTAACAACCATTATTCAGAAATAAGACAGGAAAACTGCCATCTATGACTGGTAAGATTATAGGTGATTTTTGTATTTTTTTTCTTCATTTTCCCAACTTCCTTCAGGAAACACATTTTACTCTGAAGGGGGTGAGGGTGGTGGCTAATACTTGGGATTATGGTGAGCTGCCCTAGAAACTATCGGGTTATTAAGTAACACTTAATATATGTACCAGTTTCACTTCAAAATCTGAAGCATTCTGAACTCTTAATTATTTTGGAGGGATATCCCACAGAAAAGTTGGCTGAGGCCCTAGTGATAAAGCTCTTTCTTACAGTGGCCCATTCCTGCCCAAGACTCCAGGCACTGGAAAACCTGGTGGGGGTGGAGAAGGTAACATCAGCAGGCAAGTACTCGGAACCACTCTCCTATCTCCTACCTCTTCTTCTCACGACCTCCAAAACTCTGCTGAGACCGGCCTCCCTCTGCCTCACTTGTGGTGATTTTCTCTCGGATGCTCACTTTCTCTCTGTGCAATCTTTCCTTTGGGTGTCCCTTGTCTTTAAACATGTCTGCGTATACCTGAACTCTAATTGTGGACAGGGTTCAAAGTTCTTTTTCATGGGATTCATGGGCCCCATGAAAATTAGAGGCTAAGTAGGCATCTAAGTAGGAGCATTTACGTGCTCCCAGGCATTCTGTTACACTTAAAGAGGCTCATGGAAGAGATTTGGGCAAGTGGTATAACTCTACAAGCTGCTATATTCAAGTCCTAGTTCCAGCTTAGCCAAAACACCTACTCCGATTGCAACTGATCTTTTTCTTGGTTGCTAGAAAACTGAGAGTCATATGTGTGGCCTACCTCCAGCAAACCAATAGGACCTTACACCATGCATTTTGCATACAAAACTGCTGGCTTAATCTTATCTTTCACACTCACGGTTTTCTTTTGTCCTATTTTTCTCTGTACTTATTTTTAATTTACCCTGATGTACACATTTATGTAAACTACGTTAAATCCTTTCCTCTGGAATAAAGTAGGGTGTAAATAAATTTAACAAAACAACAAAGAGTGATGATGAGCCAGGTCTTCACTCCTGAAGGCCTCAAAACGAACTGGCAGTGATCTGTGAAAACTACAGAGAACTGCCCGTTCATCTCCACAGATTACTGAAGTCTGTGAAAACTACTCCAGCCAGGACCACCATTATAGCCTGCTGCCTGTTGTGTTCACAATCGATGCACAAACTCAACCCTGAAATGGAGAGAAAAATAGGGGAAAAAAGACATTAGGAAATCCTAGCTCTATGTCATCTGGACATTAGAAAGCACTTGGTTGGACAAAGCTTTTTCTCCCCCACAGCACATGCCTGTTTCAGCATCTCAGCCCACATTCACGGAGAGGGAGAATATAGCAATTGTTAAGAATGCAGACTCTAGCACTGCATGCTCTGCTGTTTATTTGTGTTATTTGGGCTAGGTTTTTTAACCGTCTGTGCCTCGGTGAATCCCATCTACAAAGTAGAGATAATAATAGTACCTACCTCACAGGGCAGTTGTAAGGATTAAATGAGGTAACCCGGGTGTAACATTTAAAACAGTGGCAGAGTACATACAGGGATCTGAACAAATGTTAGCTACTATTAGTGATATGTGAGTGGGGGAAGCACACTGCCTTGGACTTGAGGCAATATCAAGTCTGAGTTTCTGGAAAAACACTTGTGGAATAAGTAAGGGCTGGCCACCTCCTAAAACCGGACAAAAGATCTGGCTTGCCTAGATCCTTAGCGTGACTGCTTCTCCTCCTGCCTTTCTAGAGGCAGTATTACGTGATGGAAATACTTGGTGGGTGCTGTGGGCACAAAGATAAGTTAATGTGTTTTTATTCCCTAGGAGCTGAGTCGAGAGTAGGAGAAAAATGCATAAATAATTACCAGGTAGGATGATTAAGCAATATACTGGAGGCAGCAACAGAAACACACCGTGGAAAAAAAATACCCACGGCGTGGATGAAGATATGAGATGTGTGAAAGCGCTAGACACAGGCAGCCACCTGCACCCATGTAAAATTGGATTATTGCTGACTCCTACAAGGCCCACTTTAACGCTTCTTTCAACCAGAATCCCTGCAGAACTAATTTTGTAGAACCGCCGGGGATAAAGACCTTTATTTGCAATGTCGAACTCCAGCAGAGTAACCCCTTTTGCTTTCCACACGCGCAAACCCGGGTCCCAAACGCTGCAGTTCGCGTTTCCCGGCTAACGGAAGAAACACGAGGAACTGTTTGCAGATCTAGGGGATGAAGCCAAAAAACGGAAAGCGAGGCCGAAAGGGCGCAACCACCACGTCTGGAGGAGGCCAGTGAAGTAGAGAAAGGGGAAGGTCAGCCCTGCCCCAGCGCGCTCTGCGTAACCGGGACTTCCTCCGCGCGGCAAAGCCGGGGAACCTCCCTGGCGCCTGCGCCACCGTGGCGAGACTCGGCGCCGTGGACGTGGAGAGAGGGCGACGCACCTGCGCGAAGACGGCAGCGGGAGAAGCCGCTCCAGTGCGGTTGCGCGGCGGCCCAGGCGTCGAGGGGAGCCTCGGCGGGGAGCGCACCGCGCGCCTGCGCGGAGAGCTGCGTGACGCGGCGGCGCGCAAGGGACGTGCGGAGTGAGTGGCGCTGCGGGTGGGGCCGTCGGCGGCGCTGGTGAGCTTTGCGGAGCTGGGCGGTGCCGAGGAGGAGGAGGTGGCGGCCTGGGTCTGACGCGGCCCTGTTCGAGGGGGCCTCTCTTGTTTATTTATTTATTTTCCGTGGGTGCCTCCGAGTGTGCGCGCGCTCTCGCTACCCGGCGGGGAGGGGGTGGGGGGAGGGCCCGGGAAAAGGGGGAGTTGGAGCCGGGGTCGAAACGCCGCGTGACTTGTAGGTGAGAGAACGCCGAGCCGTCGCCGCAGCCTCCGCCGCCGAGAAGCCCTTGTTCCCGCTGCTGGGAAGGAGAGTCTGTGCCGACAAGATGGCGGACGGGGAGCTGAACGTGGACAGCCTCATCACCCGGCTGCTGGAGGGTGAGTGCGCGCCTGGCCGCGGGACAGAGGGAGGTCGGGCACCGCCGCCGACCCCTGCGTCCCCGTCTGCCGCCGGAACGCGAGGGGACCCCTTTCCCGCCCCGAGACGAGTCTCTGGGAGCGCGGCGCGGCGGACGAACCGAGGAGGGGGCGAGGAGGCTCTGGGCGCGGGGGAGCGGCCTCTGGGAGCGCGGTCAGGGGAGATCGGGGGAGAGGGGGCCGTTCCCGCGGACCCTCGGGGGCCAGGCCCGCCGGCCGAAGGCTGTGCGGAGCGGGTCTGCGGGAGACAGCCTTTCGGAAAGGCCGCCGGGCTCCGCGCGCCGTGGTGCTCGCCTCCGGTGACCCGAGGATGGGGAGAGGATGCCTGCCACTGGGCTTTGTGCGTCCGTGGAATCACTGTTCTTCTCTGTTCTCTTTGTGCATTGCCCTTGGCTGCCTCCGATTGTCGTTCCGGGAGTGAATTTTACGTATATATATATAAACCTGTCCTTAACAGGACTGCTTCGTCTGCTCTGCATTTTTACACAATGCTATATAGAATGGATTCTTCTTAAAGAGAGGATAAAATTAGCGGGAATTAATCTACCGTTTGTTACTTGGCCTAAAAAAATTGTAAGACAAGATATTTGATCAGGTTGAAGATGCACCTAAGAAATGTGATGTATGTAGATGGGTTTGCTGAAGGGATTGGCTTTTGCATTTGATTTGAGCAGAGCTTAATTTCTGCACAAACTTAGTGAAAATCTATTTTTAAAGCCTGTCTTGTATTCGAAAGGTATTTGTAGGTCTACGCAGCATTTGAACTTTCCGGGCTCAAGTGTTCTTATTGAATAGTTTTATGTTGGTGGGAAGGCAAGGGGGGAAAACGAAGAGGTGGACTAGCCGGGAGTTAAATGTATTGATTCATTGCAGGATATTATTCAAAGTTAAATGCAGTCTTCTGCCAAACAGTCCCTCTACCCTAAAGTTTTCGTCATCAATAATTGTTTTGTGAGTGTGTAGAAAAGCCTTTAATCCTTTTTAAACAATTTAGAGGCCTCTTTGTTAGCCGCCGTCCAGCGATTGCATATGTACTGTTTGCTTTCAAATTACCTTAAGATAATTGCTAGAGTGAAGCAGTATGTACTTATATTTGGAAAATCATCAAAGAATATTGTAATGGGGGAGGGGTAATTCCTTTTTCTCAAAGTATGTGTCGGTATCTCAAACCCAAGTTCTGTGAGTACCTGTTCTGTAACTAAATACTGTGTATTTGCTCCAGATGTGAAAGCCATCCAGCAGTCTTAAGACTGAATAGGAAGCAAAAGTTTTACCAGGAACTCTTATTTACCTTTTCCTTTACTATCAAGTTATTCCTGGGAGGCCCCCTGGTGCCTGCAGTCAGTGTTCACTACCTAAGACTTTGTTTCAGATGTGAACATCTTGCTGGGTCTTTGAGAAATTTGCTTTGAAAATAATTGTATTTTGTAACTGTTTTATGAGGGAAATACAGTTAATTTAAAAATGTGTATGTCTTGTTTACATTTGGGAAGTAGAGGCCTACTCCTTTTTATTTTTTTTTTATTTTTATTTTTTGAGACGGAGTCTCACTCTGTCGCCCAGGCTGGAGTGCAATGGCACGGTCTCAGCTCACTGCAACCTCCGCCTCCCGGGTTCGAGCGATTCTTCCGCCTCAGCCTCCTGAGTAGCTGGGATTACAGGCACCCCGCCATCATGCCCGGCTAATTTTTTTTGTATTTTTGTAGAGACGGAGGTTTCACCATCTTGGCCTGGCTGGTCTTGAACTCCTGACCTCGTGATCCACCCGCTTCAGCCTCCCAAAGGGCTGGGATTACAGGCGTGAGCCATCGCGCCCGGCATATTTTTATATATTTTAAACTTTGCTTGTAAATTTAAATATTTTAAAAATATGTTTGTATCTCAATTTATTTATATTTTATTTCATTTTCCATATATTTTGTAGGCATAAAACAGATTTATGTTTTAAAATGTTTGTATCCTTTTAAATTAGACGCACCTTTATATGATTACAGGTACTTAAACTTCACGAGTGGGTTGTGCAAGGTTACTAGAAAAGACACTGGGGGAAAAATAAGTGATTCCATTTGTTTTTGTGAATTCAAATTAAATATTTGGTTTGTACAATCTGTTTTCCTTTTTTGGGGGGGCGGGGGGGGGGCGGGTAAGAATTGTAGTCCAGATACGTTTCTCTCTTAATTTAGCAAGCGTTAACAAGTTGACCTCCTCCTTGCCAGGCACCAGCAATCCTAAGATAAGACACAGTCTCTTCACTCAAGGAGCTCCCAGTCTAAACAAGTGTCTTTCAGGCTTTTTCAGCCTCCTCTCTGTCCTATGTTCAGCACACATTCTATCAGTACTTCTTCATCCTACAGAAGCATATTTAGTTTGACAGTGCCCCCAAGGGATTCTTAAATATTCTAGGTTTTTCAGCTCCTTCCCAGATCCAGACCTGTTGAAAGACTTGTCCAGAGCAGACTTGAATTTTCTAGTAAATAATTATTTTTAATCTTCAAAGAAAATTTTGTCCACCTGGATTTTCAGTGATATTAGATGCTAGTTAGTGATATTTTGTAAAGCTGCCTAGCAAGAATAACTATGGTTAGTGTTTTTAGTGTCAAATGAACGTGTAAGTAAAAATTTGGCAAGAATTTCTCTGCATTAGGGGAAAACATTCAGCAGGACCTGATCTCATTTTAAAATGCTGATTGTAGCCCCACAACATATTCCTGATTGTTTTTTCTTTTTTACTGTATTAAATCGCAGATCAGCTATACACACTTCTGGTGACTACATTTTATGAGTTGCTTTTTGTTTTTCTTTTTTAGGTGGGCGTATTATTGATAAGTTTTTTTTGTTTTTTGTTTTTTTGAGACGGAGTTTTGCGCTTGTCACCCAGGCTGGAGTGCGGTGGGGTGATGTTGGCTCACTGCAACCTCTGCCCCTGCAGGTCCAAGCGATTATTCTGCCTCAGCTTCCCAAGTAGCTGGGACTACAGCATGCCACCACGCCCCGGCTAATTTTGTATTTTTAGTAGTTTCACCATGTTGGCCTGGCTGGTCTCGAACTTTCCATCCTCAAGTGATCCACCCGCCTCGGCCTCCCAAAGTGCTGGGATTACAGGCATGTGCCACCGCGCCTGACCTTGATATGATATTTTCAAAGAGTCCTTTAGGTCATTTTAATACAAACATGCCATTTAATGTAAAACAGAAATATTGATTTTATTATTTGGACGGTGCATATTCTTTCGGTATGTTTTCTTGGATTAACTTTTGCTTAGAACTAAAAACCAAAGACTTCTACTTTATCCCCTGTAGTGACCCTGTTGGCCACATTCTTGTGGCTTACCATAGTGTTTTGATCATTTAAATTGAAGCTAGTTTGTATGAGTATTCTGGAAAATCCGGTAAAAGCTTCTTACTTAGATGAGTGGTTCTCAAAGAGGGGTGGGAAATGGGAGTATAGCAGAATCATCTGGGGAACTTCATTCAAACTATAAGTGCTAAGTTTATTTTGGAGGAAGTGAAGTGGAATGAGTAGAATCTAATGCATTTGGGAGGAGGTTAGTATGGAAAACTGCTGCTGGGTGAATAAGAGTGCCAGCTCTGTTCCCAACCACAGTCTTGATCCAGGTATTTAAAAACTGGGATGTGCCAGTTGATATAGTATGTCTATTATGTGTCATATATGTGATAATATGAAACTGTTTAGAATTTGCTTTTTCCTGATTATGAAAGGGCAGCATTCTTTCAAGAAGTCCCCTGTAATTCCACAATCCAGAGATAACCGTTGTTGAAATTTTGATATATTTTTGTTTAAAGATACTTAACATACTTTGTAAAATTCACATGCTTTACATCATTAGAATATTCTTTACATAGCTTTATGAGTTAATTTTTCATGTAGTATTACATCATGAACATTTTCCCTTGTCATTGAAATGTCTTCAAAAATACCGAAAAGCGATTTGCTGTGTGATAGAAAAGTTTTTCTTAAAGTATTTTTTAACATATTACCACGAAGCTGAACTTGACTATTACAATATGAGTTGTAGAATATTAGCACTGTGTAAAGTTCCATAGCAAAATGTGATTGTGTTACATTTTTGGCCCACTTACAGTTTTATGAAAATCGTGGGATGTGTTTGTACCTGTTTTGTTTTTTAAATTCATTTTTCATTTAACTTTGACCTGTCAGATGTCTGAATTTGTGACACTGCTTGTGATCTCTTAGTGCGTATCTCCCTTTTCTTTCTTGTGAAACAGGTATAGTACTCTTAAGATTTAGTTAGGCTGACAGACTACACTTTTAACTTTTCCTATTCAAGACAGGCTGGAATGCAGTGGCTTGATCATGGCTCACTGCAGCCTCGACTTCCTGGTCTCAATCGATCCTTCTGCCTCAACCTCCCTAGTGGATGGGACCACAGGCACATGACACCTTGGCTGGCTAATTTTTTTTATTTTGGTAGAGACGGGGTCTCCCTATGTTGGTTGCCCAGTCTGGTCTTGAACCCTTGTGCTCAAGCAATCCTCCAGCCTTGGCTTCCCAAAGTGTTGGGATTACAGGTGCGAGGTGCTGCGCCCAGCCTGTAGTGTCCTTTTGAAGGTTAAAAAAAATGAATGGATTTGAAAAATGAAATCGATTAATGAAAGCATATTAAAGCCCTCCATTTTAAAATGACAGCTTTATCCAGATATAATTCACATACCATACAGTTTGCCTATTTAGAGGATATGATTTTTAGTATACTATAGAGTTGTGCAGCCATCACCACAGTGAACTGTATAATATTTTCAAACACATATACCCCCCAAAAAACCCTGTTCCCGGTAGCAGACACCCCATTTCTCTCCATTCCCTCCCGGCCCCCACTAATCTACTTTTTTTTGTCTCTTAGATTTGCCTATTCTGGACGTTTCATGCAAGTGAAATCATACAATATGTTGTCTTTTGTGACTGGTTTCTTTTAATGTTTTTAACATTCATCTTTGTTGTAGTATGTATCAGTACTTTATTCCTTTTATGGCTGAATAATATTCCATTGTATGTATACACCACATTTTTAATTCATTCATCAGTTGATGGACATTTTGTTTTCTTTCGGCTATTGTGAATACTTGTAGTGCTGCTATCAACATTTGTGTAGAAGTTTTTTTTTGTGGGCATATACTTTCAATTCCGTTGGGTATATAGCTGGGAGTGAGATTTCTAGGTCATATGGTAGCCCTATGTTTAACTTTTTGATGAGCTGCCAGGTTGTTTAAGGCCTCTTTACTGATTAAATTGTTTAATTCTGACCCAGCAACCTAAAGGTTAGGTGGTTGGAAAGAAGTGTCAGTTGTTGCCGACAACCTCCACTTCTGTAGGGAAGGTGTTTTGTGTGGATGTGCAGCTAGACTTGTTAGAAAAAAGAGCATGTTGGGGAGTGGGGGAGATCACCCGAGGAATATTTTATCTCCTTGATTCTTCTGGATGAGATACTAGAGGAGACATAAGGTCGTGGCATATTTTTTAACTGATTCAGAGATTAGGTGTTTGTTTTCTCTGAATTAAGTTCAGCAAGTAAGGGAAACTGACAGTTTGAAGAAGTAGCCCAGAGGTGTTTTTATTTTGCTATCTGAATGCAGACCTGGAGCTTTTCTGGTAAATATCTAAATCCAAGATGAAGATTCGTTGGGATTTAATACATTATTTAAATTGAGTCTAGAGACAAAGCCACATTAAGAGTCAGGATTAGTGGGGAAGATAGTTGCATCTAGTAGGTCTTTTTCTTCCTTATTCTCCACGTTTATTACTTTTAAAAGAGTATACATTCCAATGCCATGCATTTTTAATTTTTTTTAATTAATTTTTTTTTTTTTTGGAGGCAGGGTCTGGCTCTGTCACCCGGTTGGAGTGCAGTGGCATGAACATGGCTCACCTGCAGCCTCAACCTTCTGGGCTCAAGTGATCCTTCTACCTCAGCCTCACAAGTAGCTGGGACCACAGGCATGCACCACTAATTAAAAAAAATTGGTAGACACAGAATCTTACTTTGTTGCCCAGGCCAGTCTCAGAGTTCTGGGATTACAGGCACCCAGCCCCATTTTCAAACATTTCTAACAGGTAAAGTAATACAGGTATGAAGGAATGTTAAGATTCTTAGAAATACTGACTTAAATTCTGTTATGTATTTCTGAAAGGTTATTCTCGAATGTTGGTGGCATATAGGGAGGCAAGGGGAAGAAATAGTTTGTAAATGTCAGTAGGTTTAGCAGTGGTGTGGTAGATGGGGATTCCCAGTGGAGTCTTCTAGGATTTGTGATTGGATACAGATTGATACCCTTAGGCAGCAGCCACTGCTTCTAGCAGCTTTAAATAGCCATTTCAAGGCTTATTCAAGTATAAATAACCAGTAGCCAGTTTTTTCCTGATTTGATAGAGGAAGTCAGTCCTTGGTCTAGATGGGTACTTGTCATACAGTAGGAAAAAGGGCGGGGGCAGTTGTCCTTTATTCTGCCTCTGCACTATTCACATGTGGAGCACAGTGATTTGTGAGAGTATGTATAACCTTCGTGAACATCACTGGCCTCAGAACCCTCCCTTGCCAAATTTACCTGCATCTGTGCAAAGACAAGTGGAGATATTGATGATATGTGCATATCCCAGAGGGAATAGCGTTTGCTTTTTGATGCATGCCCACCCTTGCATAATTGGGAGGTTTTAACATAGCATATTTCACCATAAAGGAATTTTATTCTAAGAATGTTAATCAGAATATCCCTAAGTAACAGAAGTTCCCATCTGGTCAGTTGCAAGGTGACCAAAACACTTTCTTGGTTTGAGTATAGTCATATGTTCTGTCAAATGATGTTTTGGTCAACAGTGGACTTCATGTAAGGTAGTTAGTGGTCCTGTAAGATTAGAATGGAACTGAGAAATTCCTGTCACTTAGTGACATCATAGGCATAATGTCATAGTGCAATGCATTACTCTTGTTTGTGGTAGTGCTGGTGTAAACCTATTGCACTGCCAGTTGTGTAAAAGTACAACAGGCCACGCGTGGTGGCTCATGCCTGTAGTCCCAGCACTTTGGGAGGCCAAGGCAGGTGGACCACTTGAGGTCAGGAGTTCGAGACCAGCCTGGCCAACATGGTGAAACCCCATCTCTACTAAAAATACAAAAATTAGCTGGGCTTGGTGGCATGCATATGCCTGTAATCCCAGTTACTCAGGAGGCTGAGGCAGGAGAATCACTTGAACCTGGGAGGTGGAGGTTGCAGTGAGCAAAGATTGCACCACTGCTCTCCAGCCTGGGCGAAAGAGTGAGACTGCATCTCCAAAAAAAAAAAAAAAAAAAAAAAAAAGTATAACACAATTATATAGAGTACATAATACTTGATAATGGTAATAAACAGCTATGTTATATATTTACCTTTTTTTTTTCTTTTTTTTGAGACAGAGTTTCGCTCTTGTTGCCCAGGCTGGAGTGCAGTGACGCGATCTCAGTTCACCACAACCTCTGCCTCTCAGGTTCAAGTGATTCTCCTGCCTCAGCCTCCTGAGTAGCTGGGATTATAGGCGTGCACCACCACACCTGGCTAATTTTTTGTATTTTTAGTAGAGACGGGGTTTCACCGTGTTAGCCAGGATGGTATTGATCTCCCGACCTCAGGTGATCCGCCTGCCTCGGCCTCCCAAAGTGTTGGGATTACAGGCTTGAGTCACTACGCAGGGCCCTGGAATATATTCTTATTTTAAAAAACTAGTTAAAACCGACTCAGGCATGTCCTTCAGGTGGCATTCCAGGAAAAAAAGCTTCGTTATCCTGGGAGGTGATGGCTCCATGCATGTTACTGCCCCTGAAGACCTTCCAGTGAAGATGTGGAGGCGGAATATAGTGTTACTGATGATCCTGACTCTGTAGGCCTAGGCTAATGTGTGTGTATATGGCTTAGTTTTTAACAAAAGTTTAAAAAGTGAAAAATATTTTTAAAAATAGGAAAAGGCTTAATAGGATAAGGATATAAAGAAAATATTGTACAGCTGTATGATATGCTTTTGTTTTAAGCTAATCGTTACTAGAAAATTCAAAATGTTTAAAAATTTTTTTAAGTTTCTAAAGTAAAAAATGTTAAGTAAGCAAAGGTTAATTTATTCTTGAAGAAAGAAAAATATTTTTATCTTTATTACTGTATATACATTGTGCCTTTTCTGTGTTTAGATATGTTTAGATATACAAGCACATTGTGTTACAGTAGCCTGCAGTATTCAGTACAGTAACATACTGTGCATCATGCTTTGTAGCCTAAGAGCAATAGACTATACCATCTAGGTTTGTGTAAGTCCACTCTGTGATGTTTGCACAACAACAAAATCACCTCACTGTGCATCTCTCAGGAAGTTTCCCTTTGGTAAATGATGCATAACTGGACTTGTCTGACACCATTTTAACCTTCCCCCTAGTCCTACCTCTCATTCTCAAGATTTGGAGAAATCAAAATCTAAGTTTTCATAATAAAAGGTTAGGTATATTGGGTGTTACATAGCTTTCACTAATGTCATATCTAGCAGTTGTAATCACGTATTTTAAAACTTTAAATAGTAAATTAAGAAGGAATCTTTATAGGTACTTGTATGTTTCCTCAATGTGGTTTGAATTGAGCGTTTTATTTAAATTACTATCAAATACTTGAGCCAAACTAGCGAGACAAAAAGACCAGACCTTTTCTTTTTTCCGAGATGGAGTCTCACACTGTTGTCCAGGCTGGAGTGCAGTGGTGCAGTCTCGGCTCACTGCAGCCTCCGCCTCCTGGGTTCTAGCGATTCTCCTGCCTCAGCCTCCTGAGTAGCTGGGATTACAGGCGCCTGCCACCATGCCCAGCTAATTTTCTGTATTTTTAGTAGTAGAGATGGGATTTCACTAAATCTCGAACACCTGACCTTGTGATTTGCCCACCTTGGCCTCCCAAATTGCTGGGATTACTGGGGTGAGCCACCGCGCCCGGCCGAGACCAGACTTCTGAGGGGGAGAAACTTGCAAACCTGTCAGTGAGAAAGAGTGAGGTCTGATTTTAGATGACAGAAAGGAATAGCTTTTGTGAATTTCGGACTCCCAACTACTAGAATTATGTGAATCCTGAATGATAATCAGATGTTTACTCAGTTAAGTGTTTACTCAAATATTAATAAGTATTGATACATTGGGATGCCATCTTATATAATGATTAACGACACAGATTCTGGGTGTATTTCAGCCCCAGTTTCTTCTGCATATATGATAGTAAGTGCCTTCAAACAATTCTTGACACATTAAAGGTCAGAAAATGTTAGCCGTCATTATTGCTTAGTACAAACCTGAGCTAGGAAATACTAACAGAGAGCTCTTTGTGCCACTGAGTCCTGGAACTTCCCCATACTAATTTTGAGAAGGCTTTCTTGTAAGTATGTGACAGATACTGTTTCCTCCACTTTCTGTTTATTGCATATAACCACTATTCTTGTATGTAAGTACGTATAACAGTTTCTTTACTATTCCCATTATTCAGCGTTTATAATCTGGTTTGACATATCAGTGTTGGTGCTGAGAGGGAAAGGTATTTCTAGGTAGGATAAAATGGTGAAAAGTGATTTAACACTGTTGTATGCTTGCTTTTGGCCAGGAACTATAGGGCAGTGTATCTTAAACTTTGAGTCTTGAGACCCTCTTACACTCAAATTCTCCATATATGTAAAGAATTGAAAACGAGCTTTTATTTATGTGAGGTATTTAACAATATTGCATTAGAAGTTAAAACTGAGAATTTAAAAATTTCTGTTCTCGGCCGGGCATGGTAGCTCACACGTGTAATCTCAGCACTTTGGGAGGCCGAGGCGGGTGGAATTGCTTGAGGCCAGGAGTTCAAGACCAGCCTGGGCAACATGGTGAAACCCCATCTCCTAAAAATATAAAAAAGTTAGCTGGGCGTGATGTCACATGCCTGTATTCCCAGCTACTTGGGAGGCTGAGGCACAAGAATTGCTTGAATCTGGGAGGCAGAGGTTGCAGTGAGCTGAGATTGCGCCACTGCACTCCAGCCTGGGCGACAGAGTGAGACTGTGTCTCTAAATAAATAAATAAATATCTGTTCTTTAAGTAGCAACATATTACATTTTAGCATAAATGTTTTTTATGAAGATAACTTTTCTAAAGCAAAAATGTGAGAAGTGCCATCATTTTATGCAAATCTAATGTCTTTTTAACAGAAGACAGCTGAATTCACATCTCTGTTTTGTTTCAGTCTTTTGATACCTTGTTTTAGTTGAATATGAAGAAAGTCTGTAGTCCTACAGATACGTAGTTAGAAAAAGGAGGAGTAGTTTAATAGCTGTTCTAGATAATTGTGGGTATTCTCTGATGTTTATACCAAAAATCAGCAAGTGGTGGTTTTTTAAAGGTGAATTTTAAAAGAGATGTGGAATCTGAAATTATATCCATGAATTTTTATGTTCTCTTACATTAAAATCCATTGATCTTTCTTGTACTTTAAATGGATCTTACACATGACTTTATAATACGCGTTGTTCATTTGGATAATATTGATTCAGCTGAGTTATGCAGATGTCCAGATGTTGAAACAGCTTATTATCTAATACAGTATCCAGAAATGACATTTGTTAATGTTACAAGATCTCATCAGAAGAGTCCTTAATTATGGAGAAGCTGTCAGATTCATGGTGCTGATTACAAGGTTTCTAGAATTTTAGTTTGTAACTTGAAAGCTTGAATTTTATCATTGGCAACAAGTACTGTCAGTTGTTTTCCTTGAAATGACAGGGTCACTTTGTTCATGTTCACGTGTATCTGTTGAATATCTAAGTCTGAATAACCATAGTTTGTCAGTTAATACTTTCCAGTAAAAGTGTTTAGTGAAAAAAAGTGTCTAGGTCTGCTTGGAACTAAAACAGTCACAGGAGTGCTTTCCTTTGCGACAACCATTGTACTTTGGGATGGAGCAGGAGTGCTTTGTGGGCATTTCCATTTTATCATGTAGATTATTAAAGAGATGTATTCAAAGATTGAAGTTTAATAAAATTGATCATTTGTACTGCTTTACCAAAGGGCATACATGAAGCTGCCTTTTTTGTGTTTCACTGCATGTGTGTTGCAATGAACAACACAGTGACTGACTACCAGTGGGGTTTGGTGCCACTGACTTGGTGTGTACTGAGACACTTAACAGTTTTACCCATCCTTGCTTTTGTATTATCAAAGCAGATGTCAGTGCAGTGGAAAAAAAAAAAGTCCTTTATTCCTGAAATGTCTAGCCCTCACCTATATCTGTCACTTTTCTTCTTCACTCTTTTCTCATTATACTTGCTATTTGTTTACCAATGTACCTGAAATGACTTTTTACTTATGCTTTGTGAATTCATGAAAGCCATGGGCCTTCTCAGAAAAATATTTTTACATATACACAATATTACAGACAATTTGTGGTACTATACAGAGCCACTAAAGGCCATTTTGGTCTCTGAATCCACGTTAGTTATTCTTTTGTTTTGAGACGGAGTCTCACTTTGTCACCCAGGCTGGAGTGCAGTGGCACCATCTCAGCTCACTGCAACCTCTGCCTCCCGGGTTGAAGCGATTCTCCTGCCTCAGCCTCCCGAGTAATCTGGGATTACAGGTGCGCGCCACCACACCTGGCTTATTTTCGTATTTTTAGTAGAGACGGGGTTTCAGCATGTTGGTCAGGCTGGTCTTGAACTGACCTCCTGATCCGCCCACCTTAGCCTCCCAGAATGCTGGGATTACAGGCATGAGCCACCATGCCCGGCCCACATTAATTATTGTTAACAGGCAGTCCTAAGATGAGAGGGAAGTACAGCAGCTGCCTAATTTTTTTTCACTTAAAACCGTGTGTGTGTTGTGTGCATAGAGAAAGATGGGGAGGAAAGGAAGACAGAGTGGGAGAGGGAGAAGAAAAGCAAGAGAGAAAGAATGAAAAAGCAAAGGGGGCTGGACGTGGTGGCTCACGCCTGTAATCCCAGCACTTTGGGAGGCCGAGGCAGGCGGATCACGAGGTCAGGAGATCGAGACCATCCTAGCTAACATGCTGAAATCCCGTCTCTACTTAAAATACAAAAAATTAGCTGGGCATAGTAGCACCCACCTATAATCCCAGCTACTCGGGAGGCTGAGGCAGGAGAATGGCGTGAACCCGGGAGGCAGAGCTTGCAGTGAGCTGAGATTGTGCCACTGCACTCGAGCCTAGGCAACAGGGCGAGACTCCATCTCAAAAAAAAAAAAAAAGAGAGACTCCACATTTTAGCCAATTGTAGAATTTTTATTTTTCTGCCTTTTTGTTGCTTAAAAGCAGGCTTTTGTGCTAAATATGGAGAAAATGCTAGGAAAAAATTAGGATGTCTAGATTTAACTGCCATTAATTAGTATGTAATCTTGGGGGTGGGGGTTGAGTAAGAGTTAGAATACCAGTGGTCAGTGAAGATTACTAAGATTTTATGAGGCCAAGGCGAGTGGATCACTTGAGGTCAGGAGTTCGAGCCTGGGCACATGGCGAAACCCCGTCTCTACTAAAAATACAAAAAATTAGCTGGGCATGGTGGCACACACCTGTAATCCCACCTACCCAGTAGATTGAGGTAGGAGATTCACCTGAAGCCAGGAGGTGGAGGTTTCAGTGAGCCAAGATCATGCCATTATACTCCAGCCTGGGTGACAGAGAGACCCTGTCTCAAAAAAAAAAAATTTATGAGACACCGTGCATAGGTGTTGGAATTAGTGCTTTTTTCTTGCCATCTTTTCTGTTTTAGAGAGGTAATGATAAGTAAGAACTTGCTGGGGAAAGTAGCATAAGGTTAGTGAAAAGTAAAATTTAGTATACACACAACACACAGACACATATATATCACATACCCTTGGATATGTGCGTTGGAAAGACAAACCTGCAATGGAAAAGTTTTTACACTGATATAAAATGTGAAATATAATGGTTGAGTAAAGGACAGAATTCTTTTGGGAGAGGATACACATTTTGCTTAATTGAGATTCAAAGTTAATGTTCTCTGTCATCAAAACTGATTGCAAGTGGTCATCTCTTGATGCTGATCTGTAGTGAGATTCTATGTATTTCATCTTAGAAGATGTCTTTTTACACAGGGACATACTGCATATTCATCACTTGGAAAGCATTTATAGAATTCTCCTGATACTTGCCTTTCAGCATGTCATTACATTGCAGATTAATCACTTCCAGTAGAGGGTTAGGTGGAAGCTCCTCGGCTGCACAGTTAAATGGATTTTGATATATGGAAATTTTTTTTGCGCTTGAGTCAAGGTTTGAAGAATGCTAGTTTGAGTTTGAAAAAATGTATCTGCTGCAAAATTGTGTGGGAATGAAGATCTCACTTGTCTTAACTTGGCAGCACGGGTTATGTATAAAGCAGTTTGCTGACTGGGTATGGTGGCTCGCGCCTTTAATCCCAGCACTTTGGGAGGCGGAGGCAGGAGGATCACTTGAGTTCAGCAGTTTGAGACCTGCCTGGGCAACATAGTGAGACCTTGTCTTTATAGAAAATTAAATTAGCCAGGTGTGGTGGCATGTGCCTATAGTCCCAGCTACTTGGGAGGCTGAGGCAGGAGAATGTCTTGAGCCAGTAGGCTGTAGTGAGCCTCATTACACCACTGCACTCTGGCCTGGGCAATAAAGCAAGACCACATCTCAAAAAGTAAAAAATTAAAAAATAAAGCAACTTGCTTTAATTCAGACAGTATTAGTTGTCAGAATGACTTACCACAATGGAAGTTTCTCATATATTTTTTTGCCTTATAATTTTAGGCTGAATTTATTAGAAAACATTTAGGGGAGCTTTCATTCTATTTTGTAGAATAGAGGCTACCTCGAATTAAAAGGGGAAAAATTACTAGATCTGCCGCAAAATTTAATTTCTAAAACTCTTCTGTGTTTGGTAATAGTGATTGAGGGTGGTGGTTCTTGTTTAGAAAAAATTCAGTATCAGCCCTGAATGCAAATAAATTACAATAAAGCTGTCACTGCTAAGCCATCAAAATCCTGTGTGGTTGGCCAAATGAGGATATTCAGCTTTTATTACTAACAAATAGTCATGTAACTGACAGTGGTTAAGTTCATTAGAGCAAATGAAGTTGACCATTGATGCCTGTGGTTCAGTAATACCTGATTAAGATATTTTTCCACAAAAAAACTGCACCAGACTTCAAACATCCTACATTTTCTCAGACTTTGTAAAATAGTCCAACTAAGTATTTTTCTACTTTACCATCATCAGTTGTGACATATCTTAGCAGATTACACTTCAGGTTGTACTAAAATAGTTTTTCTCAGCTGCTTTGAGAATATTCTTGCCTCTAGTTGTTCCACATAGATTATTTATAGAGGGTAACTTTTCAGTCACTTCGAATGAGGATTGGCTCCCCAAATAACAAGTATTGGTAATACCTGTCATCGAGAGCCAAGGAACACCACTCAGAACCATTTGGCTTGTTTTTTAATTGTTTACTAATTTTGCTCCCAGTGTTCTCAACTCTTCAAGCACCGTTTTTACAGAAAGGCTAATGGCGTTTAAAAGTTTATTGTCTCAGCTGGGGTGGTGGCTCACGCCTGTAATCCCAGCACTTTGGGAGGCCAAGGCAGGCAGATCACGAGGTCAGGAGATTGAGATCATCCTGGCTAACATGGTGAAACCCCGTCTCTACTAAAAATACAAAAAATTAGCCGGGCGTGGTGGCGGGCACCTGTGGTCCCAGCTACTTGGGAGGCTGAGGCAGGAGAATCGCGTGAACCAGGGAGGCAGAGCTTGCAGTGAGCCGAGATCACACCACTGCAGTCCAGCCTGGGCAACAGAGCAAGACTCCATCTCAAAAAAAAAAAAAAGTTTATTGTCTCAAAAAATACATAGTTCTTCAGCTTTTCCAATCAGATACAATTTAATTAACCCACCATTGATAAATGACTTAACTTGGCTAACAAATGGGCCACTTGGAAACTTGAGTTGCAGACTCATTTTTATTTTTGTGAAGAAATTCTGCTGTGATGAGATTTCATTTTAATTTTTTAAAAAGTTCCCTTACCATTGCTTTACTATGAATTGGGAATGCTGTGGTGAGTGCTCCATCTGGTAACATCAGTATATGTTGTGGTTTTTTTTTTAGCACAGCTACATAATGACTACAATGCCTTAGCACCCAATTAAATAACATAATCCACACTTTATTGTGTCTTAAAAACACAACATTCAAAGTTCACTTTTTTTGCTTTGACATGATGAGTATGCACTGGTAGTAAAAGTAAATAAAATGTTGCAGTACAGCAATAATCGTGACACCCATGACGCTGCCAGGTTGTAACTGCATCTGTATAATTTGTGATGCACCGAAAAGCAGTGTGAAGTGATGAGAGTACCATATGTAGTCCATCACAACTGCTCAGCTCTGCCATTGTAGCATGAATGTGTCCAGTGATAAATAAGTGGCTATGCTTCATTAAACTTTATGGCCACCAAAATTTGAGTTTCATATAATTTTTATATGTCACAGAGGATTCTTTTGTTTTGCTTTTTTGCAATCATTTAAAAAATGTAAAAAATTATTCTTAGGCCCCTAGCCATGCAAACACTGGCATTGGGCTAGATTTGACCCCTTGGCCTTAGTTTGCTGAATACTGGTGTAGTTTTTCTGCCTTTCCTAATGTAAACATGATTGTAGAAAGATAACCTTACTGGAAGTCAGGAAACCTTGGTGCTCCCACCAAAGTTGTGTGACTGATTAAGTCAGGTGAAATAAATTGGGATTAGGAGCCATGGTGTCTAGTCCTTGACAAGTCATTCCTCAATTTTTTTAATGTAATCACCTGAATTTCTAGTGTATGCATAATCACATTTTGTGTGCCTCTCGGCAGCCATTCCATTGTTGAAGAGGCAGCCAACACAGAAAATTGTTGAGGGGTTTTGATCTTTGACAAGGGAAGCGTATAGTGTGAGCTCACCAGTCACCCTGGCTTTTTTCCCTGGAGACATTTCCTAGTTTGTGGCATAGGGGAAATAGATCCCAAATAAAAAGTGACGGTCTCACTGGGCTAAGGAAGAAAGGTGGAAGTTTGGGGCCACTAAAGCAATTGAAGCTTAAGTCCAGGAGAGGAGAGAACCACATAAAATCTAACCTCAAAATCTGCAGTCAGGTCCCTCTAAAGTCATTGACTGACTTCAGAGGTACACATAAGCAAGAGAAGAAACCCAGCAGAAAACAGTAGCTGAAAAGCTAAAGATCTGAGCAGACATTTCAGTATCTAATGCCAGAGAGGCAAAAATGGAAGTTCAAATCCTGCCAAGTTAGAGGGGCCTTATTACACCCTGAGTTTTCCACTGTGGCCCCATCATGACCACTGCCTAAGATTGAAGGCAAAACTAAAACAGACCAGCCCTCAGGAAAATGAGTTACTGCTGTGCTGCTGCTAAAAGGAAACAGCCTTCTTTGGAGAAAGGTATTATCTAAAACTTCTACAATTTTGTATCCATAATTCAGTATTTCATTCACCAAAATAGGATATGCTGTTTTGGACAAGCTAATGAAACTGAATTGACCAAAAACCAATAGAAATTATCTAGTGCTGACAGAAAAAAAAAAGTGTACAGAAGAAAGCATGAGAGACTTATGTATTGCTGATAGACAGTGGAAAGGTCTATCATGTATAATAGGAATCCCAGAAAGAGAGGAGATAGACATACAATGGGATGGAAATATTGACTAATAATTTTCCAAAACAGAGATATCCAAGCACATATTAAAGAAGCTGTGTGATTCCAAGCAGGGTAAATAGAGAGAAAACCATATTGAACATAGCTGCTAGAAATCCAAGAGAAAGAGAAAATGTTAAATGCTGTCAGAAGAAAAAATTCATTATCTTCAGGGAACAATAATATGAATGATGGCTGATCTATCACCTGAAACTGTGGAAGACAGAAGACAATAGAATGGTGTTCTCTTTAAAGCACTGAAAGAAAAAAAATGACAACCTAGAATTCTTTATTTATTTTGAGATGGAGTTTTGCTCGTGTGGCCGAGGCTTGGAGTGCAATGGCGTGATCTTGGCTAACTGCAACCTCTGCCTCCCGGGTTCAAGCGATTCTCCTGCTTCAGCCTCCCGAGTAGCTGGGATTACAGGCATGTGCCACCACGCCTGGCTAATTTTGTATTTTTAGTAGAGGCAGGGTTTCTCCATCTTGGTCAGGCTGGTCTAGAATTCTAAATCTAGAATATCCTTCAATAGTAAAGTAAAATGAAGACAAACTAAAGCTCAGAAAATATATTGCTGATATGCTGACACTAGAGAATATTAAAGCAAGTTCTTTGTGTTGCAAGAAAATAACAGATAAAAGCAAAGAACTGCAGAAAGAAATGAACAATGGTAAGGATAAATGTGAGTAAATACAAATTCTGACTGTTTAAAATAATAGTTGTGGCTTGTGGGATTTAAAATATGTGGAAACAAAAATACGACAACTGTAGAACAAAAGGCTGGAGGCGGGTGGTAATCAGTCAAAAGTGTATTTGTAATCTCTAGAGCAACCTCTAAATGAAAAAAGAATATATAACGAAAAGCTAATAGAGGAGAAAATGGAATAGTAAAAAAATAACTGATTACTCCAAAGAAATGCAGGGAAAGAGAGAGGAATGAAGAACAGATGGGACAAACAGAACAGATGACAGAATGGTAGACTTAAACTCAACTTCGTCGATGATTATATTAAATGTAAAAGGAGCAAATATTGGCTGGGCACCGTGGCTCACACCTGTAATCCCAGCACTTTGGGAGGCCAAGGCGGACAGGTCACTTGAGGTCAGGAGTTCAAGACCAGCCTGGCCAACATGGTGAAACCCTATCTCTACTAAAAATACAAAAATTGGCTGGGCGTGGGTGCCTGTAATCCCAGCTACTCAGGAGGCTGAGGCAGGAGAATCGCTTGAATCTGGGAGGCAAAGGTTTCAGTGAGCTGAGATCATGCCGCTGCACTCCAGCCTGGGTGACAGAGTGAGACTCCATCTCAAAAAGAAAAGGAGCAAACATTGAAATTAATGCAAAGCTCAGAAGACCTAACTATTATAGATACTGTTTACAAGGGATGTATTTTAAATCTAAGGACACAAATGAGGAAGTAAAAAAAAGGGGGGGGGGAGGGGGGTGTGGGGGAGACGATATCATGCACACATTAATCAAATGAAAGCTGACTTGGCTATATTTATGTTGGAAAAAGCTCTAAAACCAGAAATAACACTAGAGGTAAAGAAGGGCATTATATAATGCTAAAAGGATAAATTTAATGGAAAAATATCTAAAATTTTTATATATGTAATAGTATAGGTCTAAAACTAAAAGGAAAGGTTGACAACTATTATAAAAAGTTAAAATAGACAAAACCACAACCATAGATCAGTGCCCCTCTTTCAGTAACTAGTAGAACAAACAGGAAAAAATCAGCGAGGATAAAGATTTGAACAACACAGCCACCCTGACCTACTTGGCGGACATAGAACACTTCACTCAATAATTTCAGGATATATATGCTTTTCAAAATATGTATGAAACATTTACTAAAATATACCATATGCTATACCATAAAGCACCCCTCAGTACATTTGAAAGAAATGACATCACAGATGTCAGCCAAAATCCATTTAATGAAAAACGTGAAAGACTGCCATACTAGAGTATATAACATTGCTGAGAGAAATAAATAAAAGGAGAGATACCATATTTGTGGATTGGAAGACTTGAAATTGTGAAGATACCAATTCTGTCTAGACTTACCTACTTATTCCCTGCTCCCCCCCCCCCACCCTTTTTTTTTTTTTTTGAGGCAGAGTTTCACTCTTGTTGCCCAGGCTGCAGTGCAGTGGCACGATCGTGGCTCACTGCCACCTCTGTCTCTTGGGTTCAAGCGATTCTCCTGCCTCAGCCTCCTGGGTAGCTGGGATTACAGGCACCTGCCATCACGCCTGGCTAATTTTTGTATTTTTAGTAGAGGCGGAGTTTCACCATGTTGGCCAGGCTGGTCTCTTCCTGACCTCAGGTGATCCACCCACCTCGGCCTCCCAAAGTGCTGGGATTACAGGCATGAGCCACTGTACTCGGCCTTATTCCCAATTTAACACCTCACAAGTTTGGGGGTGGAGGGGCTAGACACAAGCCAATTTTAAAACATTTGAAAGTTCAAAAGGAAAATCTAAAGAACAAAATTGGGATGTTTATATTACTAGATACCGAGACTTTATAAAAAGCCATAGTAATTAAGACATTGTGGTATTGATGCAAAAATAGACAAATGGGGTAATGAGCTATATAGTGGCTAAAAACAGACCTGTTCCTGTATGGTCACCTGATTTTTCTACAAAGCTGCCATTGCGGTTCAGTGGGGAAAAGGATGATCTTTATGATAAATGGTGCTGAATCAACTGGGTATCTGCTTAGATAAAAACCTTGACCTTTACATCAAACCATACACAAAATTAATTTGAGATGGGTTATAGAATGAAGTGGGCTAAAACAATAAAATATCTGGAAGGAAACATAAGGAAATATGTTTAGAGAAGGCAAGAATTTCTTGAATAAGATGCAAAAGGCCTTAACCAAAAAAAGATTGACTAAGATTTTTTAAGATTTAAATTCATTAAAGAACTTCTGTTCATCAAAAGATAGCATGAAGAGATGGAAAAAGTCCAGTTTTAAAGAATGAACAAAAGACTTAAAACGAACTTGTCCAAAAAAAAAAAAAAAGATAACCTAAAGGGTCTATTAGGCACATGAAAAAGATACTCAATGGCCAGGTGCAGTGGCTCACGCCTGTAATCCCAGCACTTTGGGAGGCCAAGGCGGGGAGATTATTTGAGGTTAGGAGTTCGAGATGAGCCTGAGCAACATGGTGAAACCCTGTCTCTACAAAAATTAGCTGGGCATGGTGGTGTGCACCTGTAATCCCAGCTGCTCAGGAGGCAGGAGAATCCTTGAACCCGGGAGGTGGAGGTTGCAGTGAGCCATGATCTTGCCACTACACTCCAGCCTGGGTGACGGAGCGAGACTCCATCTCAAAAAGAAAAAAAAGGGTACTTGACAACCTTGGTCCTCGGGGAAATCAAATTAAATCCAACGAATACCACCATATACCCAACAAAATGACTAAAATTAAAAATACTGATAATTTGCAGTATCAGTAAAGATATGGACCAACAGTGTTAGGAGGATTATGAATTGGTATAGCCACTTTGGGAAACTGATGGTATCTACTACTTAATGAAATAAACTGACCCGAGCAGTTCTACTGCTTTGTTCTATACATACCTAAGATAAATATGCCCATGGATATTCATAGCATTTGTAATAGCCCCAAACTGGAAATAATCCAAATAGAGTAGTAAAGATATTGTCATATGTTCATAGAATGGAATACAGGTTGAATATTTTTTATCCAAAATGCTTGGGACCCCAAGTGTTTGGAATTTGGATTTTTTTCAGATTTTTGAGTATTTGTATTATACTTACCAGTTAAGCATCCGTAATCTGATAATCTGAAATCTGAAATGCTCCAATGAGCATTTTCTTTGAGCATCATATTAGCACTAAAAAAGGTTTCGGTTTTGGAGCATTTTGGATTTCAGATTAGGGATACTCAGCCTGTATTTCAAATGACTGTTAAACACAATTATATGGATGTATCTCACAGATGCAATAATGAGCAAAAGAGCATTCTTATGTTTCTTTTTATCTAAAAGTCTAATTCACAAATACATCAAATCAATATATACTGATAGCAATAAGGATAGTAACCTCAGGCATTACTGTCATTAGTTAGGGTACAAGGGAATCTTCAGGGTTGCAGGAAGCATTCTGTACCTTGATCTGGATGATGGTTACTCAGGTATATAGATAGTTTAAAATTCGTTGAGTTACACCCATAAAGTTAGTATACTATATGTATGTAATATGTTAAAATATTTTCTAAACAGTAGTAAGTATGGTAGATATTTGCTATCATGGGATTTTATCTGGTCTGAAATTACTACATGCTGAAAATTTCTAGGAAATTTTTGATCCAAAAATTTTATGTGGTGAAGTGGAAAAAGTACTGGCCTTTAAGTTAGAAGACTAAGTCTGAATCCCTCTCTGCTGCTTCTCACTCCTATCAGTCTTATAAAACCTGGGCACTGTGATCTTATGCGAGTTATTGAATCTCTGTCATTGTACAGTGGAAAGAATAGCTTCTCTTTTCAGTTCCTGGGGTGTGAAAAGGATTAAATGAAATGATTGATGTGAAGGTGCTTTGCACCTAATGAAGTATGCTGATTTATAATATTTTTATAATCCAGCAGCGTTCAGATATCCAAACACTGGAATCCCTCATGGATGCTGTGATAGCAGTCTAGTTGCCCTGTGTAACAGGTTGCCCGGATGATTTCTTCCTTTTTTTCAGAAGTCTTGAGAGTACATAAAGGAGCAGGACTTTTGAATTGGAAGACAGCTGGGATTGCCCTGGGACATCTGCCTTATTCTGTCCAACCTTTGGCTAATTTATTTCTAATTTCTAAAACTCTTGTCAGAGTTTTAAACATTGGGAAAACCTTTAGCTTCTCTAACTGCATTCATCAACTCTTAAGATGTGACTGATTATTAAATGCACTTTTATGTGCCACTAAGTTGGTGGGGGGGGCTGCCAATTATAATTGTAAGAAGCTTTTAATTGCAAGAGTCTCACAACTTCAGAGATATTAGTTAAGGGAGAAATGTGCATCCTACAGTTAGTGAAAATATAAAAAGTTTCTGTGCAGTGTGTTTTTGGTAAATTTTTAGTTTCTGTGGATTTGCTTGACTTACAAGTTGAAGCACTTTATAGTTCTGTAAAAATGTTACACAATTACTTGAGAAGTGAAAATTATACAGAGGGAATAAAATAAATACTAGGTAAAATATTCACCACTGTCATTTGAATATTTTAAATTGACATATTGAAGTGACCCACATTAGTCTTTTGACTTAGTAGTCAAGTTACAACTAAGTTTTGATAATGTACTGTTCTTCTTGTTCATTGCTGTTCTCTATAAACAACTAATACACAGTAGACTCTCAAACATTTGTTGAATGAGTTAATACAGTTTGTAAGTACTTTTAGCTGTGTGTTTGTTATCTGAAAGCAGTTTGAGACCCTTAATTCTTCCAAGGCGAATACTTTTTTTTTGAGACAGAATTTCGCTCTTGTCTCCCAGGCTGGAGTGCTGTGGTGCGATCTCGGCTCACTGCAACCTCCACCTCCTGGGTTCAAGGAGTTCTCCTGCCTCAGCCTCCCAAGTAGCTGAGATTACAGGCACCCGCCACCACTCCCGGCTAATTCTTGTATTTTTAGTAAAGACAGGGTTTCACCACGTTGGCTAGGCTGGTCTCAAACTCCTGACCTCAGGTGATCCACCCACCTCGGCCTCCCAAAGTGCTGGGATTACAGGCATGAGCCACCGCACCTGGTCACATTTTTTTTTTCTTAAACTAAAATCTTCCACATTTAAAACTAAAGCTGAGATGTCTTTTTGGTGTTAGAAAAACCCAAATATGCATCAGAAGTAGGTAATTGATGTTTGAGAACAAGCACTAATGAAGCTATATCAGTTCCCATAATAAAAGCAGTTCTGCTGATCATTGTTTTGAATTTCAGGGATAGTCTTATAAACTAGCATATTTGCTAAAGCACATTTGAATGTTGTCTGTGTCTCCTGTTTATTGCCTCCTTTTTACTTTTATATTAATATATTAATGGAATATATAGCTTTTGCATGTGGAGGCCTTTTTTTTTTTAAAGCCTCTTATTGACCTGACAAAGGAATCAGCAATTTTTAGCAAGAAATATGTGGAATTTTATTTTACTTTGGAGATGGGGTCTCACTCTCACCCAGGCTGGAGTGCAGTGGCACGATCTCAGCTCACTGTAGCCTCTGCCTTCTGGGGTCAAGTGAACGTTCCACCTCAACCTCTGCCTTGAGTAGCTGGGACCACAAGCATGCACCATCATGCCCAGCTAATTTTTTGTATTTTGGGTAGAGATGGGGTTTCATCGTGTTGCCCAGGGCGATCTTGCGCTCCTGAGCTCAAGTGATCCACCCACCTTGGCCTCCCAATGTGCTGGGATTACAGGTGTGAGCCACCGTGCCCGGCCTTTATTTTTATTTTGCAGAGACAGGGTCTTGCTCTGTCACCAAGACTGAAATGCCCTAGTGCCATCATAGCTCACTGCAGCCTCAACCTCTTGGCCTCAAGCAATTCTCTACTATGCTAGGCTAATTCTGTTTTTTAAAAACATCTTTTGTTGACACAGGGCCTTGCTTTGCTGCCCAGGCTGGTCTCGAACTCCTGGCTTCAAGCAGTCCTCCCGCTTTGACCCCCTAAAGTGCTGGGATTACAGGGGCAAGCTACTGCTCCCAGCCTATTTTCTTTTCTTAAATGCTCTTTCACTTAAGATTAAATGAGAGCTCAGCTGTAAATTTAAGGTTAAAGGGAGTCAGGGGAGATGGTGATGAGAGGAAATGATTACAAGTTGAGTTCAGTGGGGCAAATAAGGAACTCTTCTGTCTCTCCATGCAACATTCTGTTCCCCTTCATCCCACAAGTTACTGGAAACCATATTATCTTATGGCTCAGTAATGCAAAGATGCCTCACTCCATCTAAATAGCCTTTAGAGGTTTTAATATAATGATCTATTGGGAATGTAACGATAAGTTAATTTTTAATACATAGCTGATATCTTTTTTGTATTTCTTTTGATCAGAAAGTAGAGATAGGAGTTGCTAAAATTTTGGGGACTGCTGGTAACATTCCAAGAAAGTGTGTGAAGCTAAATCACCTACTGACAATTACTATTTAATCTCCCTTTCTTCATAGCACATTGTTCTTAATGAGGCTGTTTTGACATCCTACTAGATGCGAGATAAGCAGGCCAGACCTTAAAGGGTGCGGGCTCTGAAATGTTTTTTTGTGTGTGTTTTTTTTGTTGTTGTTTTTTTTCTGTTTGTTTGTTTTTTTTTTATTTGAGACGGAGTCTCGCTCTTGTTGCCCAGGCTGGAGTGCAATGGGGCGATCTCAGCTCACTGCAACCTCTGCCCCCGGGTTCAAGCGATTCTCCTAACTCAGCCTCCCAATTAGCTGGGATTACAGGCATGCGCCACCACACCTGGCTAATTTTGTATTTTTGGAGAGATGGGGTTTCTCCATGTTGATCAAGCTGGTTTTGAACTCCCGACCTCAGGTGATCCACCCACCTCAACCTCCCAAGGTGCTGGGATTACAGGCATGAGCCACCGTGCCCGGCCCTGAAATCTTTTAAGTCTCTTTGGCTACTAGGCCCCAGGTTGGTCACAGGACAGCAAAAAACAGGACTGCATTTCATCAACAGCAGACTTGAGGAGCATCATCAGGAACCAGTAACAATGAAAATAGAAGTCAGAGATCATAGAATAACATTATTTTAAACCATGGGACCAAATAGGGTAATTTGCTGCCTGTGTGACTTTTCTGATTTTTAAAGTATGGGCATGACTCTTTTTGAAAGATTATTATGAGTAAATTTTAGAAAACTGACTGTTTTATTTATCGTTTGTCAGTACGAGGATGTCGTCCAGGAAAGATTGTGCAGATGACTGAAGCAGAAGTTCGAGGCTTATGTATCAAGTCTCGGGAGATCTTTCTCAGCCAGCCTATTCTTTTGGAATTGGAAGCACCGCTGAAAATTTGTGGTATGTAAATGGGTAAAGTTGGAAACAACTCTTTTGAATCATGTTTTTCCTCCCATGTTTAAGATCTAGAGAAAACATTTTTTGAAATTTTTGTATAAAACAGATCAGTAGGCTTTACTAAATAAAAGTGTATAAAAATTGAAACTTATAAAAATGACAAGTTACAGACAAGATGAAAATACTTGCTATATATCAACAGATAAAAGGAGTTCTATTTATAATATATAAAGAGTTCTTATAAATAAGAGAAAGGCGATACAGTATAAAAATAACATAGGAAGAGGAAGGTCTTAGAAGAAATTCAAATGGCCAGTAAACATAAGGACGTCAGCTTCTTTTTTTAGTAATCAGTGATGTGCAATTTAAAGCAAGTCTCCAACTCTAGTCAGATTATAAAAAAATACCAAAGATTGATGTTTAGTGTTGTCAAGGATGTCACGAAAAGGGCATCATAGTACACTGGTTAGAAAAAAATAGGTGTATAATTTAGAGGGTCAATATGGCGATATCTGTGGTCTTCTAACTTTGATGTTATTTAAATTTGTTTTGAAGATTATACTACTTTATACCTTGTATTCTTTTAAGTTTTACAGTGACTTTTTTACAGTCCTTTGTACAGTGCCCAGCAAATAAGAGATACTCGCTAAGTAAATGTTTGTTTTTTGTTTGTTTGGTTGGTTTTTCTTTGAGACAGAGTTTCACTCTTGTTGCCCAGGCTGGAGTACAATGGCACAATCTTGGCTCACTGCAACCTCCACCTCCCGGGCTCAAGTGGTTCTCCTGCCTCAGACTCCTGAGTAGCTGGGATTACAGGTGTGAGCCACCACGTCTAGCTGACTTTTTGTATTTTTAGTAGAGACAGGGTTTCTCCATGTTGGCCAGGCTGGTTCTGAATTCCTGACCTCAGGTGATCCACCTGTCTTGGCCTCCCAAAATGCTGGGATTATAGGCATGAGCCACCGCAGCTGGCCAATAAATGTTTGTTGAATGGATCAGTTAACTTAGAATATCACACCTTCAAGTAAGAGGTAGTAGTTCAGAATTTGGGGGAACTAATCAATCCCCTGTATAAACTTAAGCAAATGTAGTTACTTAGAGGTGATCTTAAAATTATTAGAATTAAAGTATTCTTTGAAGGTGTTCTTTAAAATGTAATATAGAAATAACTTGAAGGTAATGGAAGTTATTTGTACTACATATTTCTAAAGGTTTACTATTTGTCTCCATATTTGGTGTTAAAAAGTGACGTAAGTTAAACTACCAGATAATAAAATTGTTTTAGTTACCTATTGTTGTATAATAAATCATTCCAAAACTTTGTGGCTTACAGCAACATTAATTTACCATCTCACAATTTCTGTGGGTCAGGAATTCAGGAACAGCTTAGTGGGTCCTCTGGCTCTGGGTCTCTCACAAGGCTCCAATTAAGGCGTGATCTCGGGCTGCAGTCATCTGAAGGTTGAACTGTGAAAGGATTCAGTTCCTTATAGACTGATGGACTAAGAGCCTCAGTTCCAAATGAGCTGTTGGTCAGAGGCCTCCCTCAGTTCTTTGCTACGTGGGATGCTTCATTAGACAGCTGGTTTCATCAGCGAGCATGGAAGAAGGTGAGAGAGTGCAAGCAAGATGAAAGTCACAGTCTTTTGTAACTTAATCTTGGAAGTGACAGCCCATCTCACTTTCGCTTATTAGAAGTAAGTCACCAAATATAGCCCATACTCAAGGGTAGGGGAGGATTACACAGGATGTGAACATTGGGAATCATTTCATAGAAGCTGCTTATAACAGTAACCAATTTTTCTAAAACTGACTCTTTCTCTTTTTAGGAGATATTCATGGACAATATACAGATTTACTGAGATTATTTGAATATGGAGGTTTCCCACCAGAAGCCAACTATCTTTTCTTAGGAGATTATGTGGACAGAGGAAAGCAGTCTTTGGAAACCATTTGTTTGCTATTGGCTTATAAAATCAAATATCCAGAGAACTTCTTTCTCTTAAGAGGAAACCATGAGTGTGCTAGCATCAATCGCATTTATGGATTCTATGATGAATGTAAGTGAAAATAAAGACTTAGAAAAGTAATTCATGGAAACATTGCCTAATAATTTTCTGGTTCAGAAGAGTTGCTTTGATTCAGAGTTTTTTCAAAATAAGATCTGTCAGGCATAGGCCAGGAAGAGGAACCTGAAACTGGGAAACATGTTACTAATTAAATTGGTTCCTTGAGATCTCCTTGGTCATATTTCAGATTGACTGCAGCTTACTTGGCTGAAGAGGCTCTTTTAAAATTAGTTTATCTAGTAAACTATCCAGGTGAAACAGAAGTCACTGTAGGCAGTGGCCCTTGGTTTTCTAGTGTCCATTAAGGTTTTAACTCTCGGCATTCTTGTGGTATGACAGCTTTTATTAGTCCTGTGTCACAAGAATTATTGAGAAGTTCTGTGAAACTATTTAAAAGTCAAAGTTTAATATTATTAGAATTTAAATCTATGTCTGTAAACCTTGAAAGATAAAGATACTGAATACTCTGGGGTATCCTTATTTTACTCTCTTTTTCATTAGTAGGAAATCAACGATTTGGTATTGTATGTTTCCAAGTGTTATTATTAAAATACCCTACTAGGTTCAAATATGGTCTTTTGGTTTTATTAGAATACGGGAGTAAGTATTTATTTGGTTAATTACTACTTAGAATCAATTATAATCTTCAAATTGAATTTTTTATTGCTGTCTTCCCTATTAGAATCTACTTTTGCTTTTTTTCAATCCTTAATTATGTTAGAGACCTATTCAAACTCATATCTCCTTGATTTATATAATGATTTGACAAAGTTTGAGGGTATGTTATATGTGCAGGCACTATTGTGAACACAGTGCGTGAAGCAATACACAATACAGATGATCTCTGTTCTCATGGAGCTTACATTTTTTTTCCCAAGTGTTTCTCCAGCATTGATTGGCCTTCCCTGTCCAGCCAAATAGCAGGTCATCAGCCTAGCTGGGACTGTATGTCCTTGTAGTGAAAAAAGGCTGTATCAGGCTTCCAATGCTTAATGAAAATAGCCTTTCTTTTTTCTTTTTTCTTTTCTTTTCTTTCTTTTTTTTTTTTTTTTTTTTTGAGACGGAGTCTCGCTCTTCTTGCCCAGGCTGGAGTGCAATGGCACGATCTCAGCTCACTGCAACCTCCGCCTCCCGGGTTCAAGCGATTCTCCTGCCTCAGCCTCCCGATTAGCTGGGATTACAGGCATGTACCACGTTCCCTGGCTAATTTTGTATATTTAGTAGTAGAGATGGGGTTTCTCTGTGTTGATCAGGCTGGTCTTGAACTCCCAACCTCAGGTGATCCACCCGCCTCGGCCTCCCAGAGTGCTGGGATTACAGGTGTGAGCCACGGCGCCCAGCCATGAGCTTACATTCTAATAGAAATGATTCTGTATTTGATTTTGTATTGTATTTTTATTTCTGAGATGTAGTGTGTGGTTTGAATTATTTAAATCAGACTAGCAGAGAGAAAGTGGGTTGGAGTACATCAAACTACAACATTCTTCCTAAAGCTACATCAGAAATGGAGGTATATTTTTAAAGGATAAAAGATAGGCAAGAATGTCTTTGGGGATAGAAATGACATCAAATGAAATAATGTATGGGAGAGCAACTTGTAAACAGTGCTTTGAGTTATGTACTTACTCATTAAGGGGCAGGTTGTGGCATAAAAGCACAGGAAGTTAGTACTTGTGTCTTTCATCCCTTCCCTAGCTTAGTAGTTGTACCTTATTACCAAATTCAGGAAAATCGAGTAACTCTAAAAAGGTGAACATACACTTGAGGTTGTCTTTGTCGTAGCTTTTTATGCTAGGCTACAGGAAAATTATAGCCTTTGTGCCTCTATTTATACTTGCTATAGTGCCAAGTTGTAATTCACACAAAAGAATACTAGTTAAACACTTGGAAATTTTCCTTCCTTGGCAATAAGTTTATACTGTGTTAATCAATGCATTAGTGTTAAAATGGACAGTTTCCAGAGGCACCTTTTCACTTCTGCTTGCTTATTTGGCTAGGTATTTAACTAGTCCACACACTGAACGGAAAAAAATGAACTAAGAGCCTATTAGACTGTTTAAAAATTGCTATATTATACTGATCTTAAAAGACAAAAATTGTTTGATGTATTTCATAAAACACCTAGCACAATCTTTGGGATTTTTTAAGTGTTAAATTTGATTAGGTTTATTTTATTTGTCAGAAATTCTATGTATTTATGATGTACAACATGATGTTTTGAAGTATATATACATTGCAGAATGGTTAAATCCCGCTGATTTAACATATGCATTACCTCAAAAAGTTAGCATTTTGGGAGAAAACAACACTTAAAATTTACTCTTAGCATTTTACAAAGATACAATATAGTGTTAACTGTAGTCACTGTTATACAATCGATCTTCTGTATTTATTCCTACTACCCAACTGATACTTTGTATTCTTTGACCAACATCTTCCCATCCCACCCCTACCCCCAGCACAATCTTTGAAGTCTTGGTAACTTTACTGAAGGTATTGAATGTTTATTGTAGTTGTTGCCTTTTTGAAAGTACGTAAATAACATCTTTGCATTGTAGAAAAAGTTCTTCTTTATAGATAAACATGAAGAAATGAAGAAAATTGAAATCATTCATAATCCTGCGGCTTTGAGATAACTGATGAGAACAGTTTTAGATTTTTTAATTTATTCTATCTGTTCTTTTTACAGGCAAACGAAGATTTAATATTAAATTGTGGAAGACCTTCACTGATTGTTTTAACTGTCTGCCTATAGCAGCCATTGTGGATGAGAAGATCTTCTGTTGTCATGGAGGTAGACTAGTAAATTTGCCTTACAGATTTTTTTTTTCTTCTATTATTCGGAAAATACCTATAATAATCAAGAGGCTGTGGGAAAACAAAGCAGTGCTTGTATGAAAACTCAAGTGATTAAAACTGTTTTAAACATGGCTAAACCTCTTTTAAAAATTAGAAATTTATTTATAAATGAAAACGTAATGCTTCTTTAAATACAGTTTCACATATAAGGAGTGTAACTAGAGTTGTTTGAGAAAGTCTCCTTTGCCTCAAGTTTTAACAGAAAGACACCCCTGCTATTTATTAGTAAAAATGAGAGGATATCTTCCTGCCTATATTGAAATCTTTCATCAGAATCCAAATAAAATTGAGTTTCATATTCACATATATCAAGAATTCTAGGCTTCATATAATATATTTGCTTTAGTATTAACAATAAAATAATAAAATAATCTTTGGCAGATTGGTAGGTTACTCTGTATGGCTTATGAAATAAGCTTGAAGTTTTTTGAAAGTTTATTTGAAAAATTAATGTATATGTCTAACACCTAGCTAGTAGATAGTGTATGATCTGACCATCTTGAAGAGTTAAAAACCTGTTGCTAAGATACATTTATGAAACAGATAATTGAGTAATAAAAGGTATTTAATATGTCAGAACTTATTAAGACACTATGAGAAGTCAGGAGGAGGAAAGACTGGGTACATGTGTGTATGGAGGCATGGGTTTTAGAGGATAAATAGGCTTTGGAGAAGTTAAAAGGACTTGAGACACTCTTTGTTGTCTAGTTTAGGGAATGTGTAAGAACTGGCCTGACTAGAAGGTCAAGTACATGCTGGGAAATGATGGAATCAGATTATGGAGATTTGACTATTGAGCAACGGAGTTTGTTGAGTGATTTAATAACCGTATTGGGTTTTTGTACAGGGAAGTAATTTAATGGAAATAGTGTAAGAAAATTAGTTTTTCATCAATATACGGGAAGAATTAAAGTGGAAAAACGCTGAAAAGATAGATGCACTTGCCTAGGCCCGAGGTAATAAATGGTTTATTCTCTGGCAGAACATAATTCACTATATTAATTGAAATATGTTTTCCAGTAGACATTAAACACGTAATGAATTGTAGTTCTTGTACATTAGTGTAGCTAAGGATAGAAGTGTAGCAGTATGGATACGAATGTTTAGCTTCATTCCTTGTGATGATACTTGGATTGCCTATCAGAGAGAAATAATAGCTTATATACCACTTCAAAGATTGCAGAGTATTTTTATGAGCTTTTCCTGTTAATCCTTCTGATCAATAGTTTATGACTTCATGAAGATAATGAACATGTTGGAGTGGGATGTGAAAAGAAGGTCTTAGGGAACCAAGTGAGGCACTTTCACTTAGAAGTTAAAATGTTTAAGATTAGTGGTAAGAACTGGCAAAAGTGGTAGGAAGGGTTGCAGTTGATTATGTTTCTATGAAGGCCAGGGAATGATTGGAAAAAAGAATGGTAGTTTTTTTTTTCCTTGGGAAGTCTTTTGAAATATAAAGGAATTTCATTTCCCTGGTAGGGAAAAATGGAAAAAAACAATTATAATGCTGTATTATATCAAAGTGGAATTCCTAATAACTCTGTGTTGCCCTTTAAGACATTAAAAGGGGCAGGGCGCGGTGGCCCACGCCTGTAATCTCAGCACTTTGGGAGGCCAAGGTGGTTGGATCATGAGGTCAAGAGATCGAGACCAGCCTGGCCAACATGGTGAAACCCCGTCTCTACTAAAAATACAAAAAATTAGCTGGATGTGGTGGCGCGCGTCTGTAGTCCCAGCTACTCGGGAGACTGAGGCAGGAGAATCGCTCGAACCCGGGAGGTGGAGGTTGCAGTGAGCTGAGATCACGCTACTGCACTGCAGCCTGGGTGACAGAGTAAGATTCTGTCTCGAAAAAAAAAAAAGACGTTAAAAGGAACACTTTTCAGTATCTTTAATTTCACATAGTGAATCTATTTTGATTAAATGCTTTTTATTCGGTGACTGTTAAAATATTAAAATTTTTAGCTGTTAGTACTATGTCTCATCTTTTTATTTATAGGATTGTCACCAGACCTGCAATCTATGGAGCAGATTCGGAGAATTATGAGACCTACTGATGTCCCTGATACAGGTAAGTGTAGAGAGAAGTTTAATTGTTTTGTGTAAAGTGTTTTCATATTTGAACTTGATTACATTTAGTGGAAGTAGGATTGGCTTATGTAATAAATAAAAGAGCTTTTTTCATAGTCAATAAGCCAGCTACAGATTACTTTATTTGCAGTAATACACAATTTTTCACTTTGCACTGATCCTCAAAATGCGGAACCTTTTTATTTATAGTCATAATGTAGTTATTTGATCACAAAAAAGATTTTGCTGTTGAGTCCTTATACCTATTTTTCTAAATTCCCTCATTCATACTAGCATTGGTTATGTTCTTCAAAAATTTGTTAAATTAGACAAAAGTTTTTTAATTAAAATAATCTATTCTTTGCTTCTTAGGCAAGGATACAACTACCTTCTTTTCAAATGTCTAGTAGTTTTTTGTTATTTTCTATGTCCTCTATTTGAAATTTTTAGAGCTTTTTTTCAAGGGGGTGTGGGAGGGATTTCAATCTGTTGCCCAGGCTGGCCTTGAATTCCTAGGCTCAAGCAATCCTCCTGCCTCTTCTGAGTAGCTAGGGGACTCCAGGCATGTGCCATACCTGGCTTAAATTTTTAGAGCTCTTAAGGCTCTAGAGACCTGTGGTCAGTTTTGTGAAAATTACATTGGAAATCTCTGGGAAGGCTGGGAGCAGTGGCACTCACGCCTGTAGTCCCAGCGCTTTGGGAGGCTGAGGTGGGCAGGATCACTTGAGGTCGGGAGTTCCAGACCAGCCTGGCCAACGTGATGAAACCCCATCTCTACTAAAAATAACAAAAATTAGCTGGGCATGGTGGTGCGTTCCTGTAATCCTAGCTACTCAAGAGGCTGAGGCACGAGAATTGCTTGAACCTGGGAGACAGAGGTTGCAGTGAGCCGAGATCACACCACTGCACTCCAGCCTGGGTGACAGAGTGAAACTGTCTCAAAAAAAAAAAAAAAAAGAAAAAAGAAACAACAATCACCACAAAAAATGCTGCTCAGAACTACACATCAACCATTATAAATGGTATAGATCCTCTGATGTCAGTAGCCATGTAATACACTGTATGTTGTAATAAATTGTGTTAGGAGCTTTTTTTTTTTTTTTTTTTTTTTTTTTTGAGACAGAGTCTTGCCCTGTCACCAGGCTGGGGGGCAGTGGTGCAACCTCGGCTCACTGCAAGCTCTGCATCCCGGGTTCAAGTGATTCTTCTGCCTCAGCCTCCCGAGTAGCTGGGACTACAGGCGCCCGCCACCACACCCGGCCAATTTTTTGTATTTTTAGTAGAGATGGGGTTTCACCATGTTGGCCAGGATGGTCTCGATCTCTTGATCTTGTGATCCACCCACCTTGGCCTCCCAAAGTGCTGGGATTACAGGCGTGAGCCACCACACCTGGCCTGTGTTATGAGCTTTTTTACATAACACGACTTGTTGTGTTGATTATTTTTTAAAGTATGCATTTTATCACAGTTTTTGATTGTAATTATAGAATACATTTGACTAAACCTAACAAACTGGTATTTAAATAGTATTTTATTTAAAATGCTGTTTTTAGGCCTGGTGCACTAGTTCATGCTTGTAATTCCAACAGTTTGGGAGGCCAAGGCAGGAAGATCACTTGAGGTGAGGAGTCGAGACCAGCCTGGGCAACATAACACCCATCTCTACAGAGAAAAAAAAAATTTTTTTTTTTAATTAGCCACATGTCGCAGCACCGCGGCTACTCAGGAGGCTGAGGCAGGAGGATCACTTCAGCCTGGGAAGTTGAGGCTGCGGTGACCTGTGATTGTGCTCCTGCATTCTAGCCTGGGTGACACAGTGAGACCCTCTCTTTCAAAAAACACCCAAAGTGCTATTTTTAAAATAAGGTATAATATAAATATGTATTACTGGTCATTCTTCAGAATATCTGTTTATAGTTCAGATGTAAACTGATCTAGTGTGATATGCTAGGCTTCTGTTTTTAGCATGTTTTATTTATTTTAGCGTATTTTAATGAGAAGTTTTCAAGATGCTGAAAACAGTTATTTTGATCTTTGATAGTGTCTGCAACATTCAGAAATTTAATTTATAAGTTAATACATTATTTGAAGCAGCCTAGTTGATTGTGATGCTAGCTCATTAAACAATAAATCTTGACTCTGAAATTCTTTTTGAGACAGAATTTCACTCTTGTCGCCCAGGCTGGAGTGCAATGGCCTGATCTCGGCTCACTGCAACCTCCACCTCCCAGGTTCAAGCAGTTCTCTTGCTTCAGCCTCCCAAGTAGCTAGAATAACAGGTTCCTGCCACTGTGCCCAGCTAATTTTTGTATGTTTAATAGAGACAGGGTTTCACCATGTTGGCCAGGCTGGTCTTGAACTCCTGACCTCTGGTGATCCGCCCACCTCGGCCTCCCAAAGTGCTGGGATTACAGGCGTGAGCCACCATACCTGGCCTGAAATTCTTATCTAGACCCTGTTAAGGTTAAAGAATTCCAGATTGTTGTTGCTACCATTATTTGATTTTTTTAATGCATCCAGAGTGTCATGTTTCCTAAACCTCAAACTCTATTCTAATTTTATACAGTTTTATTGTCTCACTGAAATTATAGATTCTTGAGATCGAGACCATCCTGGCTAACACGGTGAAACCCCATCTCTACTAAAAATTCGCTGGGTGTGGCAGTGGGCGCCTGTAGTCCCAGCTACTCGGGAGGCTGAGGCAGGAGAATGGCATGAACCCGGGAGGTGGAGCTTGCAGTGAGCCGAGATCGTGCCACTGCACTCCAGCCTGGGTAACAGAGCGAGACTCCGTCTCAAAAAAAAAAAAAAAAAAAAAGAAATTATAGATTCTTAATACCTTAGCTTTCTACTGGAAAGAGGCTGGAAAGTATGAAAGCATTATTAAGCACTGGGTGGGTGTATATTTTCGAAGAGTCAGCTTCAACCAGAAAGGGCTTAAGAATTGAGACTGACTATTCCAGTGGATTTTGTGTGCTAGTGAATTTCTTAAAACAACATACAGGGAGCTTGGGATATATCAATGATAGAGATTGAATACATTGCCACTAATTCTACAAATGGTTTTATAATGCCTCTATCAAGATATGATGTACTGTAACTGAAAATGAAGATGCCCTTTCCTCCTAAACCATACTATGATGTTTATGGATTATTTAAAATTCTTAAAACTGACTTAACTCTTTAAAAATTATCTTCTTGGCTGGGCGCGGTGGCTCACACTTGTAATCCCAGCACTCTGGGAGGCCGAAGCGGGCGGATCACGAGGTTAGGAGATCGAGACCATCCTGGCTAACACAGTGAAACCCCATCTCTACTAAAAATACAAAAAATTAGCCGGGCGTGGTAGCGGGCACCTGTAGTCCCAGCTACTCGGGAGGCTGAGGCAGGAGAATGGCGTGAACCCGGGAGGCAGAGTTTGCAGTGAGCAGAGATTGCACCACTGCATCCCAGCCTGGGCAACAGAGCGAGACTCCGTCTCAAAAAAATATATATGTATCTTCTCTTAGCCACTGCAATTCTTAGAAAATCACCATCACCATCTCAACATCCACCCTTCTTTTAATATCACTACAGTTGGACTTTTACCCACTCCGTTACCCTCAATCACCAAGAAACTTGCATTGAGGTCTGATGATTTAATTGTAAGTGGCACATTTTTGGTCTTCGTCCTACTGCCCTTGTTCATGGCACATTTCCTACTTTAGGACGATTGTTTCCCCTTTCGGGATACGTTTACTATACTAAGCCCTTTGTCTTGATCATTCCTTCTCAATACCTAATGTTCATTCTCCCTCATCTACCTGCCTATTAAATGTTTGAATTCCTCAGAATTCATTTGCTGGTCTTCTCACTTTGTATTCCTAAGGTGGTCTGAGTCCCTCTTAAGATTTCCACTACCATTAATATGATGACAATACTCAAGTAAATATTTTTAACCCTGACCTCTTTTCCAGGGCTCCAAACATTACCAAAGTCAAGGATCTGATCTGATTTTGTTCTTCCACATTTAAAAAAAAATCCTCAGGGTCTCAGTAGAAAATGTTTTTTTTTCGCTCAAGTGATCTGTAGATCAAATACAATTCCAGTGAAATCACAATTGAGTTTTTTATGGAATTAGGCAATTGTTTTTAATGTTTATGTGGAAGAACAAAAGATCAAAAAGTAACCAAGACAATCCTGAAAAAAAAATGGAGGATACTAGCCCTACCAAATATAAAGACTTATTAAAAAGCTCTAGTCTGTTATTGGCTCAGGGATAAGTAAAATAGACTAACAGAATAGACTGTGGTGCTCAGAAACAGTGGAACCGTAAGGAAAGGATGAACTGTTGAGGAAATACCACTGGGTTGTTTGGTTATTCATATGGAGAAACTACCCAAAAGATGAACAGCCTTTTCCATGTATTGTTGTGCTGTAAGTGCCATGCACATATTTCCTATATGTGGAAAGGGTTGGAAAGTACTACCTTAAGAGGCCATGGAAGATTATATTTGTATGGTTTGTATGGTTGCTTTAACAAAAGTATAAGTTACATAGGCTGGAATACTTAGGCAAGTGATGGTCATTGTTTAGTAAAAGGTAAGAGGGCAAGAAAGGAACTGAAATTTGATGTAGATGTGCTATATTCTATAAATCTGTAAATTTTGTTCTTAATTGCTGTATTTCTGTCCTTTAAAGGTTTGCTCTGTGATTTGCTATGGTCTGATCCAGATAAGGATGTGCAAGGCTGGGGAGAAAATGATCGTGGTGTTTCCTTTACTTTTGGAGCTGATGTAGTCAGTAAATTTCTGAATCGTCATGATTTAGATTTGATTTGTCGAGCTCATCAGGTATGAAATATAAAACTCTTAAGCTTTTTCTTTTTTCTTTCTTTTTTTTGGGGGCAGACGGAGGGGCAGACAGATTCTTGTTCTGTCACCCAGGCTGGAGTGCAATGGCGCAATCTCTGCTCACTGCAACCTGTGCCTCCCGGGTTCAGGCAGTTCTTGTGCCTCAGCCTCCCAAGTAGCTGGGACGATAGCCGTGTGCCACCACACCTGGACTCTTAAACATTTATTATTTGTTAACTTCACATAAGCCCTCTCATTTTGTTTTGAGGAAACATATCCAAGAAAGCTAAATGAGTTGTACAAGGAAAGCAGTAGGAGAGGTGGCAGAGCCAGTTCCTGGATCTCACACTTAACAATCTAGTGATTTGTTAACCTTTTATCACCCTAAAAGAGGAAATGTTTAGAAATATTTTGGGGCTGGGCATGGTGGCTCACATCTATAATCCCAGCACTTTGGCAAGCTGAGATGGGTGGATTGCTTAAGTACAGGAGTTTGAGACCAGCCTGGGCAACAAAATGAGATTCCATCTCTACAAAAAAAATCAAAAATTTAGCTGGGTGTGGTGGTGCGTGCCTGTGGTCCCAGCTACGTGGGAGGCTGAGGTGGGAGGATCGCTTGAGCCTAGGAGATCAAGGCTGCAGTGAGCCATGTTTATGTCACTGCTCTCCAGCCCTTGTGAAAGAGCTAGACCCAGTCTCAAAAAAAAGAATGTATTTTTGTAGTATACAGCAAACCTAACAAAATTTTCAGTGCTTCTTTGAAGCTTTGTAGATATGATTTAGATTTTTTTTTTTTTTTTTTTTTTTGAGATGGAGTCTCACTCTGTCACCCAGGCTGGAGTGCAGTGGCACAATCTCTGCTCACTGTAACCTCCGCCTCCCAGGCTCAAGCGATTCTTCTGCCTCAGCCTCCGGAGCAGCTGGGATTACAGGCACGCACCACCACGCCTGGCTCATTTTTGTATTTTTAGTAGAGACAGGGTTTCACCATGTTGGCCAGGCTGCCCTTGAACTCCTGAGCTCAAGTGATCTGCGCCTCAGCCTCCCAAAGTGCTGAGATGACAGGCGTGAGCGTGAACCACTGTGCCCAGCCTCATTTTTATATAATCTTTGTGCATAATGGCGATTTTGATAAGAGCAAACCACACTTTAAAAAAGTATTTTTGAGACCATTGAAGAATTTGATTGTGGCTCAGTGCAGTGGCTCATGTCTGTAATTCCAGCACTTTGGGAGGCTGAGGCAGGCAGATCCTTTGAGCCCCAGGAGCTGGAGACCAGGCTGGGCAACATGACAAAACTCTGTCTCCACAGAAGATACAAAACAGCCAGATGTGGTGGTGTGCACCTGTAGTCCCAGCTTGCTTGGGAGGCTGTGGCAGGAAAGTCGCTTGAGCTCAGGAGGCAGAGGTTGCAGTGAGTGTAGATCGTACCATTTCACTCCTGCCTGTGCAATGGGTGTGAAACTCAGTCTCAAAAAAAGAGAACATTTGATTGTAGACTTGGTAATAGGTATGAATTATTTAATCTTTTAATTTTTTGTTTTTGTTTGAGGCCGAGTCTCACTCTGTCACCTAGGCTGGAGTGCAGTGGCATGATCTCGGCTCACTGCAACTTCCGCCTCCCAGGTTCAAGTGATTCTCCTGCCTCAGCCTCCCGAGTAGCTGGGACTACAGGCGCCTGCCACCACGCCTGGCTAATTTTTGTATTTTTAGTAGAGACGGGGTTTCACTATACTGGCCAGGCTGATCTCAAACTCCTGACCCCAGGTGATCTGCCCACCTCAGCCTCCCAAAGTGCTGGGATTACAGGTGTGAGCCACTGCTCCTGGCCGGTATCAATTATTTTAGCTGTTTCATAATCATTAATTGTTATGTAAGAAGAATGTCTGTGTTTTTCCAGGAATGCATACTTGAGTGTGTAGAGGTAAAATGACATGCCTGGGATTTGCTTTAAAATAATATCAGCAAAGAGAAAAGGAGAGGGAGAAGATAAACAAATGTAGCAAAATCATGAAAAGTATTGAATTAGGCTGATGAGTTAATGGGAGTTAATTCAAGTCGTCTTTATCTACTTTTGTGTATATTTGAAATTTTTCATTATAAAAACATTTATACAGTTCAGGGTTTTTGGTTGTCTTTTATGTCCGCCACCACTAACTAGATTGTGTACTCTAAGGAAGGGATTACAACTTGTTTTTGAATCTCTGTTGCTTTATATAGTTGCTGACATTGTAGCATAGTGTATCATGCACATACAGTGTTGAATAAATTAATAAAAGCGTATTTAATTAAGTATATGCTGTCCCACAGTACTTCCCTTTCTTTCTGGAGCTTTACTCCCCATGACACTTACTACTGCTGCCTCTTTCTTTGATCCTAAGTGATAAAAATGACTGGCTTTTTATTCTTTGCTTATTGTATATTACATGCCACTTTTATTTAGCAGGATTTCTTGGTGGTTCCATTGAAATGAGGTCATGTTCCCACATCCTTTGATTTTGGCAAAGTAGTTTTTTGTTGTTGTTGTTTGTTTTTTTTGTGAGACAGAGTCTCACACTGTTTCCCGGGCTGGTGTGCAGTGGCACCATCTCGGCTCGCTGCAACCTCCACCTCCCGGGTTCAAGTGATTCTCCTGCCTTAGCCTCCCGAGTAGCTGGGACTACAGGTGTATGCCACTAGCCTGGCTAGTTTTTGTATTTTTAGTAGAGACGGGGTTTCACTATGTTGGCCTGGCTGGTCTCGAACTCCTGACCTCGTGATCTGCCCGCCTCGGCCTCCCAAAGTGCTGGGATTATAGGCACGAGCCACCTCGCCCGGCCTGACAAATAGTTTTTTAAATCAGTAAAACTGTGTTTATGATTTTGATAAATATGCCTTCTATTAAATAACAAGGCAGAATTGCTAAGTTTCCTAACTAAAATGACCCCTGATAATCAGTTTTTTTCAGCCATAGATCTTCATTCACTGGTCTTTTCAAAAATAAATGATGATTTTTAAAAATCAGGTTTCTGAACTACGCTAGTTTGCATGGTCTTTTGTTTTCCAGAAACTGCCAAAATCCTTCTATTGTGCTTATTTTCAAATAATTGTCTCTAAAATTCTAGAAATATTCCCTTTAAAAAAGAAAATTTGAAAGAATGAACAAGTAAGCAAACTAAAAAACCAAGAACTAAAAACATGGAGTCCATGACCAGCCTGGGCAACACAGTGAAACACGAAACCCTGTCTCTACAAAAAAATACAAAAAACTGGCTGGGCACCGTGGCTCACGCCTGAAGTCCCAGCATTTTGGGAGGCTGAGGCGAGTGGATCACCTGAGGTCAGGAGTTCGAGGCCAGCCTGAAAAACATGGAGAAACCCCATCTCTACTAAAAATATAAAATTAGCTGGGCACGGTGGCACATGCCTGTAATCCCAGCTACATGGGAGGCTGAGGCAGGAGAATCGCTTGAACCTGGGAGGCAGAGGTTGCCGTGAGCCGAGATCGCGCCGTTGCACTCCAGCCTGGGCAACAAGAGCAAAACTCCATCTCGAAAAAAAAAAAGAAAAGAAATACAAAAAAATTAGCCAGGCATGGTGGCACACACCTGTGGTCTCAGCTACTCAGGAGGCTGAGGTGGGAAGATCTCTTGAGCCCCAGGAAGTTGTGACTGCAGTAAGCCAAGATTGCACCACTACACTCCAGCCTAGGCAGCAGAGCGAGACCCTGTCTCCACACAAGCACATACACAGAGAAACAACTAAAAACATGAGTGCCATTTGCTATGTGGAGCAGGGGTCACAGGGATTAGATAAGGTGGCTATGGTCTTAGGAGAAAAGGTTCATCTAAATTGTACCATAAGGTAATTTCAGCAGAAGCATGTTCCTAGTACTGAGGTAGGAGTTATTTTAATAAGTAAATGCCTTCGTAATTGCTTTTTTATATTAGCAAGTGGTGTCGGATAATTTTGCTAATTAAAAGATACCTAAAATAAATTTAAAAGTAATCTTGCCCACCGTAAATAAATATAAAATATTTACATATTATTGTGTTCCTCAAATTTGTAGACTGAGAGAAAAATTGTTTAAATTACTCAGAAATTGACAACTGGTTCTAGAAATGTTAACTCATCAAGGCCAGGCACGGTGGCTCACGCCTGTAATCCCAGCACTTTGGGAGGCCGAGGCGGGCAGATGACCTGAGGTCAGGAGTTTGAGATCAGCCTGGCCAACATGACAAAACCTCATCTCTACTAAAAATACAAAAATTCATCGGGCTTGCTGGTGGGTGCGTGTAGTCCCAGCTATTTGGGAGGCTGAGGCAGGAGAATGGCTTGATCTGGGAGGCAGAGGTTGTAGTGAGCCGAGATCATGCCACTGCACTCCAGCCTGGGTTGACAGAGCAATATTCCATCTCAAAAAATAAAAAATAAAAATAAAAATACAGTCTGTTGGCAGTTAATTTAAGGAGCATGATCCATGTAAATTAAACTCAACTTAGTAATGTTTTCAGTGTGTAGCCAGTAGTGTTTTCAGTGTGTAGCCATGTAATAATAATACATATTTTAAAATCAAAGCAAGAAGTAAGCTCTTCGCAAAGTCGTTCATTGTCTGGTTGTTGCTCATTTAATTAAGGATTCTGTAGTTGGATTATAATGCCCTCATCAAAGTAATAATTGATGTCCCTCTGAAAAACACGTAGATTAATTAAAATAAAATTAAATTTAAAACTTAAAAACAAAAAAAGTACTTAGTGTCCCAGCTCCCTGTAGTCATGATGCCTATTAGTATGTTTTGTTTCATGGGGAGCCTTGCAAATGGCATGATTTTTAAGCTTTCAGGAGTGGTGAATTTATTATTCCAATTAAGCTAAATTGTTTCCATTATAGAAAAGGCACACCAGTTTTAATGTTCTAAGCAAAGTTTAAGAATAAAAATCACAACTTCCAAAACAAAACAGGGTGGTTTGGGGGTGAGGTGGGGCACAGTCTTTGCCACCTTAACCTTAATTAGTATAGATGGTTCAGAATTACCCACCAATAAATGTTTTTTCTTCTGACATTTCCTTTGACAGGTGGTGGAAGATGGATATGAATTTTTTGCTAAACGACAGTTGGTAACCTTATTTTCAGCCCCAAATTACTGTGGCGAGTTTGATAATGCTGGTGGAATGATGAGTGTGGATGAAACTTTGATGTGTTCATTTCAGGTATGATGTAAACATAAATATATAAGAACTAGAAATCTAATAAAAACTATTATCAGAATTCGTTTTAGATTTGTGAAGTTTCCTTGAGCAAGTGTTGAAAGTCTGTTTAATTCAGAAGTGATTACCACTCAAACTCATTAGATATTTCTATTTTCAGTCACAAAGTTTCCAGCATTTGTGGTATATATCAAATATGACCGTTTTAGGGAACCTAAGTTACGTCAGTCATTCTTGATTCAGATGTTTTAATTGTTAAAATTCCTCTATGACCTTTTGAATAGTGGCTTACTAAAAGAATGTGAATGTAATGAATAGTTTAGGCTTTTGTTTTCTTTTGCAAAGTAAATGGGTGGAACAGACACTGGGAAAAGAATTACAAACTCAGATGAAAATAAAGTAAAATAGTTCCCTGGCTGGGCACGGTGGCTCACTCCTGTAATCCCAGCACTTCGGGAGGCTGAGGTGGGCGGATCATGAGGTCAGGTGATCAAGACCGTCCTGGCTAACACTGTGAAACCCCATCTCTACTAAAAATACAAAAAAATTAGCCGGGCGTGGTAGCATGCACCTATAGTCCCAGCTACTTGGGAGGCTGAGGCAGGAGAATGTCGTGAACCCGGGAGGCAGAGGTTGCAGTGAGCCGAGATTGCACCACTGCACGCTAGCCTGGGCGACAGAGCGAGACTTGGCCCCCAAAAAAAAATAGTTTCCTGAGGAAAAAAAACTTTCAAAATAATACTAAACTACCCGTTTATGTCACAGGAACATTTATTTATTTATTTTTTTCTTTTGAGGAAGCACATTGTATACCATGTACGGGGGGTTGTTTGCTCACTTTTATTATAATATTTTTATTAATTTATGTACGTACTAGGTTCAGGGGTTACATGTGCAGGTTTGTTCCATGTGTAAATTACATATTGCTGAGGTTTGGTGTATGAATGATCTTATCTCCCAGGTAGTGAGCATAGAGTTTTTCATTTCACATTCCCCCTCACCCTTTCCACTCTAGTAGTCCCCAGTGTCTATTGTTGCCATCTTTATGTCCATGTTTACCCAGTGTTTAGCTCCTGCTTATGAGTGAGAATATGTGGTATTTGATTTTCTCTTCCTGCATTAATTGGCTTAGGATAAAGGCCTCCAGCTGCATCCATGTTGCTGCAAAGGACCTGATTTCCTTCCTTAATTTTATGGTCGCATAGTATTCCATGGTGTATATGTACCACATTTTCTTTATCCAGTTCACTGTTGATGGACATCTAGGTTGATTACATGTCTTTGCTATTGTGAATAGTGCTGTGATTAACATACAAGTGCTTGTCTTTTTTTGTACATACCCAAAGTAGTGGGATTGCTGGGTCGAATGGTGGTTGTTTTAAGTTCTTTGAGAAATCTACACACTGCTTTCCACGGTGGCTGAACTAATTTACACTCCCACCAGCAATGTTTGAACATTCCTTTTTCTCCACAACCTTGCTGACATCTATTATCTTTTAACTTTTTATTAATGGCCATTCTGACTGGTGTGAGACAGTATCTTGTGGTTTGATTTACATTAATAGTGATGATGAGCATTTTTTCATATATTTGTTGGCTGCACGTTTGTTTTTTGAGAAGTGTCTGTTCATGTCCTTTGCCCATTTTTAATGGGGTTGTTTTTTGATTGTTGAATTAAATGCCTTATAGAGTCTGGATATTAGACCTTTGTTGGATGCATAGTTTGTATTTTCTCTCATTCTATAGGTTGTCTGTTTATTCTGTTGATAGTTTATTTTGCTGTGCAGAAGCTCTTTAGTTTATTTTGGTCCCACTTGTCAATCATTGTTTTGGTTGCAGTTGCTTTTGGGGACTTGGTCATAAATTATTTCCCAAGGACAGTGTCCAGAATGGTATTTCCTAGGTTTTCTTCTAGGGTTTTTATAGTGTGAGGTCTTATATTTAAATCTTTAATCCATCTTGAGTTAATTTTTGTGTATGGTGAAAGGGGTCCAGTTTCAGTCTTCTGCATATGGCTAGCCAGTTATCTTAGCACCATTTATCAAATAGGCAGTCTCTTCTCCATTGCTTGTTATTGTTGACTTTGTTCAAGATCAGATGGTTGCAGGAGTACAGCTTTATTTCTGGCTCCTCCATCCTGTTCCATTGGTTTATATGTCTGTTTTGGTACCAGTACCATGCTGTTTTGGTTACTGTAAGCCTTATAATGTACCTTGAAGTTTGGTAGTGTGACGCTTCTGGCTTTGTTCTTTTTGCTTAGGATGCTTTGGCTATTCGGGCTCTTTTTCAATTTCATATGAATTTTAGAAAAGTTCTTTTCTAATGCTGTGAAAAATGACATTGGTAGTTTGATAAGAAGAGCATTGAATCTGTAAACTACTTTGGGCAGTATGGAGATTTTAACAATATTGATTCTTCTATCCATGAGCATGGAATGTTTTTCCATTTGTTTGCATCACCTCTGATTTCTTTCAGCAGTGCTTTGTAGTTGTAGAGATCTTTCACCTCCCTGGTTAGCTGTATTCCTTGATATTCTTTTTGTGGCTATTGTAAATGCAGTTCTTGATTTGGCTCTCAGCTTGGATGTTTTTGATGTATAGAAATGCTACTGGTTTTTATACATTGATTTTGTATCCTGAAACTGATTAACAAAGTTGTTCATCAGTTCCAGGCACGTTTTGGCGGAGTCTATGGGGTTTTCTGTGTATAGAATCATTATCGTCAGTAAAGATTGTTTATCTTCCTCTCTTCTTATTTGGATGCCTTTTATTTCTTTATCTTGCCTGATTACTCTGGCAGGGACTTTCAGTACTCTGTTGAATAGGGGTGGTGAGAATGGTCATCCTAGTCTCTTGTTCCAGTTCTCAAGGGGAATGCTTCCAGCATTTCCCTTTTCAGTACGATGTTGGCTGTGGGTTTGTCAGATGGCTCTTACTATTTTGAGGTATGTTCCTAATTTTTCAGTGCCTAATTTGTTGAGGGTTTTTAACATGAAAGGGTGTTGAATTGTATTGAAAGCCTTTCTGCATCTATTGAGATGATCATATGGTGTTTGTTTTTAATTTTATGAGGTGAATCACATTTATTGATTTGCATATGTTGAAACCTTGCACCCCAGGAATAAACCCTTCTTGATTGTGGTGAGTTAACTTTTTGATGTGTTGCTGGATTCGGTTTTAGTATTTTGTTGACGATTTTGCATCTGTGTTCATCAGGGATATTGGCCTGAGGTTTTCTTTTTTCCTTGTGCCTCTGCTAGGTTTTGGTATTACAATGATGCTCACTTCGTAGACTGAGTTAGGGGGGAGGTCCTCTTCCTGGATTGTTTGGAATAGTTTCAGTAGGATTGGTACTAGCTCTTTGTACATCTGATATAATTCAGCTGTGAATCTTTCTGGGCCAGGGCTTTTTTTGGTTTATAGGTTTTTTTATTACTGATTCAGTTTTGGAACTTGTTATTGTTCTGTTCAGGATTTTAATTTCCTCCTGGTTCAGTCTTCGGAGTTTGTGTGTGTTTCTATGAATTTATTCATTTCTTAGGAGGTCATGTGTGTTTCTATGAATTCATTTCTTGGGAGCGCATGTGTGTTTTTGTGAATGTATTCATTTATTCTAGGTTTCCTAGTTTGTGTGCACAGGTGTTTATAATCTCTAGGTATTTTGTATGTCTGTGGGGTTGGTTGTAATGTCACCTTTCTCATTTCAGATTGTGCTTATTTGGATCTTTTCTTAATCTAGCTAGCAGTCTATCTTGTTTATTCTTTTGAAGAACCAACTTTTGGTTTCAACATTTACATTTTTAAAAGAGGCCAGTTTTAGCTTTAGTGTGCTCCTACAAATCATTCTTGTTCACTGAGTAAAACAGCTTCAGTACTTTGCTTTTGCAAAGGCTATTCTATGTCTTTGATGTACACACACTGTATTTCTCTTAAAATGCATTGGGGCTTTCCCATTCCTCTTTCTCTTTATCATAATATACTGTTTCCATCAATTAGTACAATTGAATGGTAAATGGTTGATTGCTCATTTACAAATTAAATATAGTAACCATACCTTATCCTTCCAGCAGTTGTCATAGTGGTGTTGGATTAATATATTCTCTTCACTAAGGCACTATTATGTTCTAAATAGTTTTTAAAAAATACTTTGTACATATTTCTATACTGTTTTAGTTTTGGAAAATCATGACTTTTTTATGTATAATGTAGGTTAAAGCTCTATTTACATCCACCAGAATGAGTGTAGTAAAAAAGCCAGACTGTATCAAGTTTTGGCAAGGATTTGGAGGCATTAGAATCTTCATACATTAATGGTGGGAATAGAGTTCTCATATGATGCAGCAGTTTTACCTCTAGGTATATACCCAAGATATATGAAAACATGTTCACACAAAAACTGTTACATAAATGTGCATTATTCCTTATAGCCGAAAAAGTCACACAATTCAGATGTCCATCAGCTACTGAATAGATAAACTGTGGTACATCCATACAATGGACTGTACAATGTACAACTCAGCAATAAAAAGGAATGAAGGACTGATACTTCAAAACTGGTTTTGAAAACCTGAGTGAAAGAAGCCAGTCACAAAAGACCACATATTATATGATGCCAGTTATATGAAATGTTCAGAATAGGCAATTCTATAGAGACACATAGTAGATTAGTAGTTGGTTAGAGTTAGAGGATGTGGAGAGCAGGAATGGGGAGTGACTGCTGATGGGAACAAGCTTTCTTTTTGGGGTGACAAATGTTCTAAAATTAGATTTATATCAATAAAGCTGTTTTTTAAGTAAAAAGATCTATTTATACATAAATAAATAAGGTCTGAAGGGTTTGTGACTTGTAGGTTAGTTACCCTCCTAAGTTACTGTATCAGAATTATGATGACAACATAGATCTTCTGACTCTTAAACCAGTGTTCTTTTCCTCACAACAGAGATACACTAAGTTCAAAAAGTTTTTTACTTAAATCTAAGGATTGGATAGTTGATAGAGTTAGTGTACTTTTGTTATTAAAATATGAGTGGAATGACAAAGTTCAGACATTTGCACACTTTAAGAAATGTTTATGGAACTTTGCTATTCTACATTTTTATTGCATTTTTGCAGTTTATGCCATTTATTGAAAATCACAATTGTAACAATTTTCTTAACTTCTGTACATGAAAAAATAACATTATTTGTTAATAATTTACTTTAAGATATTGAAACCATCTGAAAAGAAAGCTAAATACCAGTATGGTGGACTGAATTCTGGACGTCCTGTCACTCCACCTCGAACAGCTAATCCGCCGAAGAAAAGGTGAAGAAAGGAATTCTGTAAAGAAACCATCAGATTTGTTAAGGACATACTTCATAATATATAAGTGTGCACTGTAAAACCATCCAGCCATTTGACACCCTTTATGATGTCACACCTTTAACTTAAGGAGACGGGTAAAGGATCTTAAATTTTTTTCTAATAGAAAGATGTGCTACACTGTATTGTAATAAGTATACTCTGTTATAGTCAACAAAGTTAAATCCAAATTCAAAATTATCCATTAAAGTTACATCTTCATGTATCACAATTTTTAAAGTTGAAAAGCATCCCAGTTAAACTAGATGTGATAGTTAAACCAGATGAAAGCATGATGATCCATCTGTGTAATGTGGTTTTAGTGTTGCTTGGTTGTTTAATTATTTTGAGCTTGTTTTGTTTTTGTTTGTTTTCACTAGAATAATGGCAAATACTTCTAATTTTTTTCCCTAAACATTTTTAAAAGTGAAATATGGGAAGAGCTTTACAGACATTCACCAACTATTATTTTCCCTTGTTTATCTACTTAGATATCTGTTTAATCTTACTAAGAAAACTTTCGCCTCATTACATTAAAAAGGAATTTTAGAGATTGATTGTTTTAAAAAAAAATACGCACATTGTCCAATCCAGTGATTTTAATCATACAGTTTGACTGGGCAAACTTTACAGCTGATAGTGAATATTTTGCTTTATACAGGAATTGACACTGATTTGGATTTGTGCACTCTAATTTTTAACTTATTGATGCTCTATTGTGCAGTAGCATTTCATTTAAGATAAGGCTCATATAGTATTACCCAACTAGTTGGTAATGTGATTATGTGGTACCTTGGCTTTAGGTTTTCATTCGCACGGAACACCTTTTGGCATGCTTAACTTCCTGGTAACACCTTCACCTGCATTGGTTTTCTTTTTCTTTTTTCTTTCTTTTTTTTTTTTTTTTTTTTTTTGAGTTGTTGTTTGTTTTTAGATCCACAGTACATGAGAATCCTTTTTTGACAAGCCTTGGAAAGCTGACACTGTCTCTTTTTCCTCCCTCTATACGAAGGATGTATTTAAATGAATGCTGGTCAGTGGGACATTTTGTCAACTATGGGTATTGGGTGCTTAACTGTCTAATATTGCCATGTGAATGTTGTATACGATTGTAAGGCTTATGTCACTAAAGATTTTTATTCTGATTTTTTCATAATCAAAGGTCATATGATACTGTATAGACAAGCTTTGTAGTGAAGTATAGTAGCAATAATTTCTGTACCTGATCAAGTTTATTGCAGCCTTTCTTTTCCTATTTCTTTTTTTTAAGGGTTAGTATTAACAAATGGCAATGAGTAGAAAAGTTAACATGAAGATTTTAGAAGGAGAGAACTTACAGGACACAGATTTGTGATTCTTTGACTGTGACACTATTGGATGTGATTCTAAAAGCTTTTATTGAGCATTGTCAAATTTGTAAGCTTCATAGGGATGGACATCATATCTATAATGCCCTTCTATATGTGCTACCATAGATGTGACATTTTTGACCTTAATATCGTCTTTGAAAATGTTAAATTGAGAAACCTGTTAACTTACATTTTATGAATTGGCACATTGTATTACTTACTGCAAGAGATATTTCATTTTCAGCACAGTGCAAAAGTTCTTTAAAATGCATATGTCTTTTTTTCTAATTCCGTTTTGTTTTAAAGCACATTTTAAATGTAGTTTTCTCATTTAGTAAAAGTTGTCTAATTGATATGAAGCCTGACTGATTTTTTTTTTCCTTACAGTGAGACATTTAAGCACACATTTTATTCACATAGATACTATGTCCTTGACATATTGAAATGATTCTTTTCTGAAAGTATTCATGATCTGCATATGATGTATTAGGTTAGGTCACAAAGGTTTTATCTGAGGTGATTTAAATAACTTCCTGATTGGAGTGTGTAAGCTGAGCGATTTCTAATAAAATTTTAGTTGTACACTTTTAGTAGTCATAGTGAAGCAGGTCTAGAAAATAAGCCTTTGGCAGGGAAAAAGGGCAATGTTGATTAATCTCAGTATTAAACCACATTAATCTGTATCCCATTGTCTGGCTTTTGTAAATTCATCCAGGTCAAGACTAAGTATGTTGGTTAATAGGAATCCTTTTTTTTTTTTTTAAAGACTAAATGTGAAAAAATAATCACTACTTAAGCTAATTAATATTGGTCATTAAATTTAAAGGATGGAAATTTATCATGTTTAAAAATTATTCAAGCACTCTTAAAACCACTTAAACAGCCTCCAGTCATAAAAATGTGTTCTTTACAAATATTTGCTTGGCAACACGACTTGAAATAAATAAAACTTTGTTTCTTAGGAGAAAATGATTCTGTAATTCCAGTGTCACTAATTTATATTGTTCTTTCCTCTGATTTTTTTCAGGTTAGTGATTTTTTTGTATACAATTTAATCCAAATGTTATGACATTCAGAAATCATGAAACACAGTAGATATCTGTTATAATGTGGTGTATCACATGGATTATAAAGCAAAGTTATGGTCGATTTCTATTCTTGAAAGAATCAACTACAGTGAATCCTTTGCATTTGAAGCCTTAACATGCATTGCTTTAATTTTGCCCAGGGACAAATTTTAATAATCAGCAAGACTGGTTTGTGCAAAGCGTTGAGTCATCAGGTATTTAGAGCCTAGCCAGCTACCCAGTATCCATGCTGCCATATCCCTTCATTGTAAAAAGTACCTAAACATTCGTGAAATGATTTTTTTTAGCTGAAAAATGCTGGCAAGAAGAATTTTAAAGCTTAAAATAGGTGGTAAATTTGAAGTATGAGTGTGTTCACGAGAAACATAGGCTTTTCAAAAAAATTTTTATTCAAGGCAAAGCAAGGAACATCTTGAGATATGTCTCAAGAATATAAAGATGTATTATTTTAAGCCAAGGAGCTGAAATATATCTCAGTTTATAAATTCAGGTATATTCTTTTTGTCTCCATGGCAACCATAACTTTTGAACCAAAAAAAATTGTTTTTACATCTTTATGCTGAAAATGTGTTTAGATTAGGAATATGGTCGGGCTGAATTTGCTGTTGCTCCCTAACCAAATCCACCTCTTGTTTTCCTTGTGAGTCCATGGCTAAATCAAAGCTGCCCCTGAGAAGAGACTTAATCCAAGCCTGATTGTACTAGTGGCATCACTTAGAAGTAGGCTTTCCCTCTTCCTAGTAGATCTCAATGTTTTATAATTCCTTAAAACAGCTGAAAATTGGGACAACATACTTTACGCAATGAACAGTAGTTAAATAGGAAATAAACTAGTTCCATATAAGTATACACCTAGAGTTTTAATTACCTTTATAATGTTTCTTAAAAGTGAAACTTAGATACAATTGTGATTGGATACTTAGATACTAAGTGAAACTTAGTGTAACAATTTTGATCTGTTAAATTGGATTTTACATGTACATTTGAATGCCAGAATTTCTAAATAAATCCCCTGGTTAGGAAATTTTAAAAGTCAAAGCTTGTTTTCTTCAACCACTACCTTCTACATTGGTTGACTTAGACCGTAAGCTTTTTAAGTTTCTCATTGTAATTTACCTTCTCATGCAGATTGCTGATGTTTTATTAAACCTTATTTTTACAAAAATGACCATAAATCTTTGCTTCTTTCCTCTTAGGGATCTTTGCTAGTTTATGTGATTATGAAATCTTACTTACAACACCACATTGTTTGGGGTATACAGGGTGGAAGATAGCAAGTGAACAGGGGGTGCGGGTGGGGAGGGTTTGTGTGTGTGTGTGTGTGTGTGTGTGTGTGTAAGAGAGAACAAACTAACGGCCTGAGGCTAATAGGTTCAGCATTCCTTTCAGATACTATATGCAAAAAGGTGGGAACCTAAGGTCTGTTCCTGGAGGCTTTTCAGTGAAGCCTGGCATAGGATCGGCAAGTTAAAATATGTATTAATTTTTACAGCTGCCTAATCAGAATGATTCAGCAGATTTACAGGCCAAATTTTTCCTACAAAACCAGTGACATCACAGCTAAACATCTAGAACTTTCATAGATTATTGTACAAATTTATTAAAAGGCACAGTAATTTATGGTCTATCATGTAAACACTGATTCTCGACAAAACCACAAAGGCAAGTAATACAGTGCAACAGAAAAAAGTAGTCCAGAGGAGTTTCTTTTTTTCTTTTTTTCTTTTTTTTTTTTTTGAGAGAGAGTCTTGCTCTTGTCTCCCAGGCTGGAGTGCAATGGCATGATCTTGGCTCACTGCAACCTCCACCTCCCAGGTTCAAGCGATTCTCCAGCCTCAGCCTCCTGAGTAGTTGGGATTACAGGAGCCTGCCACCACACCCAGCTAATTTTTGTATTTTTAGTAGAGACGGGGTTTCACCATGTTGGCCAGGCTGGTCTCTAATTCCTGACCTCATGATCTGCCTGCCTCGGCCTCCCAAAGTGCTGGGATTACAGGCGTGAGCCACCTCTCCCGGCCAAGAGTGTTTTCTTAATGTAACAAGTTTAATCTGAAGTAAGTCTTAAATCTCCTAGTATATTTTTTGGAAAAAAAAAAAGCCAAAGAAACAAAACCAGAGTGTTGAAATGCTACCTCCAATATATGTATAACTCAAACTGATAATTGGCATGGTTTCTGACAGTGCTGCTGTTTACCAGCAGGTTATTGACAGACTGACACCTGTTCCATTCTTGAATAAATATAAACTTTGTCTCTCTAGCTCTTAGTTTAATAAAAATCCCTGAGAAGGAGGATGTGCAGGGTGGAGTTGCTGGAGAAAACTTAATGTCTTGTAGAACTCATAACTACTCAATTTACCAACTTAAAAATTAAGCTACATATTAGGAAATGTAGTTTATCACATGTAATAAGGAATTGAGATTATCAGGAAATCTTGGGTGAGGCTCAGGATCCAACATATAACTGGGCCCAGCACATAAAACTGTTACCTGACTTCAATAAGAAATTTTAGCCGGGCGCAGCGGCTCATGCCTGTAATCCCAGCACTTTGGGAGGCTGAGGCAGGCAGATCATGATGTCAGGAGATCGAGACCATCCTGGCGAACATGGTGAAACCCTGTCTCTACTAAAAACATAAAAAATTAGCTGGGCGTGGTGGCGGGCGCCTGTAGTCCCAGCTACTTGGGAGGCTGAGGCAGGAGAATGGCGTGAATCCGGGAGGTGGAGCTTGCAGTGAGCTGAGATCACGCCACTGCACTCCAGCCTGGGCGACAGAGCGAGACTCCATCTCAAAAAAAAAAAAAAAAAAATTTTAGAAACACAGATCTCTGCCTCCCAGTGTAATTGCCTCAGATTTTGTAGCACATCTCTTAACTGCAGCTTGATAATTCCACTGAAATTAATTCTATTGGTCATATTAAAGAACAGGTTAAAAAGTCTTTATTGCTGTACTGTAAAGCCTGTTTTGAGTGGAAGACCCTAATCTTCTTTTAGTGAATTCCCCAAACTCTGGGTATGCTCACTGACAACACAAGTTGTAATCCCTTTTTTTTTTTTTTTTTTGAGACAGGGTCTCACTCTCTCGCCCAGGCTGGAGTGCAGTAGCCTGATCACAGCTCACTGAAGCCTCAGCCTCCCAGGCTCAAGTGATCCTGCCGCCTTGGCCTCCCAAAGTGCTGGGAGAATTATAGGCATGAGCCATCATGCCCAGCCCATTTTATTTTTAATATATCATCAATTATTTCTTATACAGATCCATTAGGATGTTGAATGCTCCTTTAAAACTTTGTTGTATTTGTCGGCCAGGCGCGGTGGCTCATGCCTGTAATCCCAGCACTTTGGGAGGCCGAGGCGGGCCGATCACGAGGTTAAGAGATCGAAACCATCCTGGCCAACATGGTGAAACCCCGTCTCTACTAAAAAAAAAATACAAAAATTAGCTAGATGTGGTGCGCACCTGTAGTCCCAGCTCCTCGGGAGGCTGGGGCAGGAGAATCACTTGAACCTGGGAGGTGGAGATTGCAGTGATCCAAGATGGCACCATTGCACTCCAGCCTGGGCAACAAGGGAAACTCCGTCTCAAAAAAAAAAAAAAAACTTTGTTACATTTGTCTTTAAAAGTCATAAGGCCTAGATCAGTCTTGTATGTGACTAGAATGTAGCTCTATGGGCAGGGTTTTTTGTTTTTTTTTTTTTGAGACAGGGTCTTGCTATGGTGCCCAGGCTGGAGCACAGTGGCACAATCTCAGCTCACTGCAACCTCCTGGGCTCAAGCCATCCTTCCACCTTAGCCTGCGTAGTAGGTGGGACTACAGGCATGTGCCACCATACCTGCTAATTTTTGTAGAGTGGGGGGTTTTACCATGTTCCCTAGGATGGTCTCCAACTCCTGAGCTCAAGTGATCCGCCCACCTCAGCCTCGCAAAGTGTTGGGATTACAGGCATGAGCCATTGCGCCCATGCAGGTATTTTTTTTCTCTTTTGTTCACTGATTCGTATCTCCTTATCGTAGAGTGGCGCCTGCCACATAGGAGGCCTGCAGATACTTGCTTAATGAATGGCAAGTGGGTGTCAAAAATCTCTACTTGTATTACTGTTTTGACACCTTGACCTGAAGAAGTTAACCACAAATAATAAAATTCCAGTTTTTCTTTATCCTCATGTAACTGCTTTTGTCTCTTATGACAAGAATGCTGAAGTTTCAAGGAGAAAATTGATTTGAGTCTGTACTGCCAAAATAAATGGTTTGTCAAAACTCTGGCCCCTACTTTGTAAACTATTGGTAAGTTTAAGAAGTCAGCCAGGCACGGTGGCTCACGCCTGTAATCCCAGCAGTTTGGGAGGCCAAGGCTGGCAGGTCACTTGAGATCAGGAGTTCGAGACCAGCCTGGCCAACATGGGAAAACCCTGTCTCTACTAAAAGTACAAAAATTAGCCAGGCCTGGTGGCACACACCTGTAATCCCAGCTACTCGGGAGGCTGAGTTTCTTGAAGGAGCATTTTGCAGCTAGCACCTGACAGGCATAGTGGAGAAGTTGCCTGTTACTGAGAACAAACATCGCAAGATCCTCAGGATTACTTTCTTTCCTCCCCTTTCTATAGTCTCTATTCTGTTTTCTTGATCTTAATGTCACCTTTGTAGTGAGCCACCTCACATATTTTAGGAAAGTTGTATAATTTGTGTAATATTTTGTCTTTCAGAATTCATCCAGTAAGTATGAGCACTTAAAACTAGGAATCGAACTTGGAGAGGCTGTTGCCTCATCTAGCACAAGTATGTCATAGGCAGTATGGAGAAAGATCAACTATCTTTTCAGTAAGGAACAAAAAAGTCTGATACAGTGGAGAAAACTATTCTAGACAGAAATTTAATACAGTTATGTTGTTAGAATGATTGTTCTATTTCTTTTGTTGTTGCTTTTGTTTTGTTTTCTGAGACGGGGTCTTGCTCTGTCATCCAGGCTGGAGTGCAGTGGCGCCATCTTGGCTCACTGCAGCCTCCACCTCCTGGGTCCAAGCAGGTCTCCCACCTCAGCCTCTCGAGTAGCTGGGATAACAGGAGCGTGCCACTGCGCCCGGCTAATTTTTGCATTTTTAGTAGAGACGGGGTTTCACCTGATCTCAGGTGATCCACCCACTTCGGCCTCCCAAAGTGTGCTGAGATTACAGGCATGAGCCACCGTGCCCGGCCAATTGTTCTATTTTTGATACTTCTCAGAGCTTTTAATCTCTTTAACTTAAAAGAACAGTCACCCAGGCTGAATACGTGGTCTCAGTGCAGAATTACACGAAAGAAATTTGGCCCAATTTGTCTCAAAGACCCTTACAACTCCATCAAGTAAGAGAGGGAAGGGATATTGCATGAACATAGCAACTATCCCTGCTTTCAAGTGGTTTAGCAGGTTAGGTAGAACCATTTACTAGAAAAGGGTGCTGAAAAGAAAATCCAGAGCTGTCTTCTGTGTTAAGTCGGCTGGGCACGGTGGCTCATGCCTGTAATACCAGCACTTAGGGAGGCCGAGGCGGGCGGATCACAAGGTCAGGAGATGGAGACCATCCTGACTAACACGGTGAAACCTCGTTTCTACTAAAAATACAAAAAATTAGCCGGGTGTGGTGGCGGGCACCTGTAGTCCCAGCTACTCGGGAGGCTGAGGTAGAATGGCGTGAACCCGGGAGGCGGGGCTTGCAGTGAGCCGATATCGCGCCACTGCACTCCTGCCTGGGTGACAGAACGAGACTCCGTCTCAAAAAAAAAAAAAAAAAAAAATCATCTAGTCACAGAAAACCTGAAAATAAGTTGACAAGATGTAAACTAATGGGAACTCTTAAAATTGGTAACACTGCTTGGAAAATGAATTTAGCATTTATAACCTTTTAAAACTGAACATGTGCATGCCCTACAACCCATCAATTTCACTTTAAAGCATTTATGGAAAAAGTGCACCATGGTGCATTAACAAGCAAAGTAGTCAAAATACTTGATTTTAAGTCGTAGACATTCACCAATCAGACCACCAGTTAATCGGAACTTGAACCAGCTGTAAACAATATGGCCTTGCAGAGGCGTTCCCCATGGCATTCACAGTAGCAAAAGGATCCAAATGCCCAAAAAAATGACCCAAATGCCCATTGACAGGAGCATTGGTATATTATGGTATATTTCTAGAACAGAAAGCAACAATGAAAATGATTCACAGTGTTATGCATTAGCATGGCTAAATCTATGAGGAATACTGAGGTTGAATAGTTCACAAATAAAACTTGTGTTTTAGGATACGCAAAGAAAAGAGAATGGGAAACAGTCGCCTCCTGGGGATCATAATGGGAGAAGGAGGAGCATACAGAATCTCAACAGTATTGTTGATGTCCTGTCTCTTGGATGTTAGGTTCATGTGTTTTGGTAGGCGGTGGCTTCACAAGTTTTTATTATGTCTCAGCCTCCATATATGCTACATGTATTGTTTTGTACATTTTTAAAGTATGTATATGATCCGATTCATATATAATTGTATCTGTATACACAAACATTTTTATTTTAAAAAGCTGGTTAATAAGATTACATAAATGATAATTTCAGAAAATGCTACAGGAATTCAAGCATGGCACACAGCCTGCACTTACTAAGCACTCAAATGATGATGAGCTGATTAATTTAAGCTGGGTCTCAAAGGCTGGATACCAGACAGAAATTTTAAATGAGAGTGATGAAGAGAGCACACTACAGTAATATGCAAGGTCAAAGAAGTGGGAAAGTTCAAAACAAGTATGAGTGTTTCTCTCATTCTTACTGGATAATAGGAGATACATTTAGGAAAGGAGAGTTAGGAAATTAGAATGGGGACAACCTGGAGGCACTGCAGGACACAGTGCAGGAGATGATCAAGTTATGGACAATCAATGCTTTTTTAGTGGGGAAAAGCCATGCCTAGAGACAAAGGAATAAATTGTTCAGTTAAGTGTTTTGAGTTCTCATCCAATCCCAGGTCAAATGAAAAGAGGCAAGAAGGAAGCTAACAACACCTACTGTGGACCAGTGCACTGCTAGTTTGCTCGCTATCAAATTCGCCCCAGACGCTTTTACAGAGTAGGTGGTATCACCCTACTTTTACATTTAATGAGAGGTGCCAGGGTTAAATGATTTGACCACGTTCATACAGCTAGTAAAATGGTAGTACCTGAATTCAAACCAAGTGTATATGATTCTAAAGTATATTCACTTTTCTCCACACACCAACATAGTTTAAAAAACAAAACAAACTCAGGAATGAGAACACTCAAGAAGGCTTAGTTGGTAGTAACCCTTTACTTGAAGTCAAAACTTAAGCAATAAGCTGCTTCCCTGATAGCTTAATGAATATTTATGTGTATTTGCTGGCTTTTATATGCAAATTTTACATGTTTCCTTTGTAAAGATTTTGGGATCCTAAAGAACCTTCTCATAACTGTACTTTGTGCGTTATACAGCCACTTGCATTTCCTTCATGGCACAACTCACTGTGCCTTGTATTTTAGTTGTGTCCATATCTGTCTAGCTTGGAAGCTCTAGAAAGGTAAGGCCATGTTGTCTTCATCATTGTGGTACTTGCCATGCCTCTGTGTTTTTCATGTAGCGGACATTAATTGTTCAGTAAATATTTTATACTCGAGGCTGGAAATTAATCATCACAACACCGGTACCTTGCAAAAACAAGGGGAAGAGCAGAGAGAAGTCAGGAAGGATCCTTAGGGAAAAGCTAGAGGAATGAAGCTTGAAGCAGCCATTTTCCTCAAGATTTTCACAACCAGTTGATGCTTCTTGGCCCATTCTCCCATTTATAGGCCAGGGAGAAAGAGTCAAGGGCATGTGTAAGGAAAAATAAGTTCCCAGTTGGCCCCCTCCTCGTACTTGTAGGTGAATTTGTCATTATTGTGCTGTGTGTGGAAGCACAAGAAGGAAGGAATTAACTCGTTCTTCAGAACTGCTGATTGAGGAGCTATTTGCTGGAAGTACCACAAGTAGGCAGAGCCAGGTTGCCTTTTAAGAGTAATCATTGTATTAGCCAAAAAATCTGGAAGCAATCCAAATATTGAAATGACTTAAATGGTCCATCCACTCTGGAATATTATGCAGTCATTGAAAACGTTTCGAAAGACTAGCAACATGAAAAAAGCCGTGATATGGAGACCAAAAAAAAAAAAAAAAGATTTACACTGGGTGTGGTGGCTTAGGATTGTAATCCCAGTGGGAGGATTGCCTGAGTTCAGTTCAAGGCCAGCCTGGGCCACATAGGACTCTGCTCTACAAGGCATGTTTAAAAATTAGGCGGGCGTGGCGGCACCTGTGGTCCCAGCTACTTAGGAGGCTGAGGCGGGAGAACTGCTTGAACCCGGGAGGCAGAGGTATGCAGTGAGCCGAGATCGTGCCACTGCTCCAGCCTGGGCGACAGAGCGGGACTCAGTCTCAAAAAGAAAGAAAAAGCCGGTTATACCTTAGGAGGGACATAAGGAAAGGATGGGATCAAAAAGCTGTTTAGAATTCTTTTTATTTGTTCATTCAACATGCATGTATTAAGCACCCACGTAGTCAAAGGCTAGGACAAAGCCAAAAAGATTACTGCTGCAGATTCACAGTTACAATAGAATGGCCCCTTCTCACAAGAAGCCACCGTATTCACACGTTGTGCTTTTCTCAGTTCAAGCGGCCTCTTCCTTTTGAGTAACCAGGGTAACCACGCTGTGCCCGCGTGTGCCGGGCGGGGAGGGGAGGCCGCAGCCCCAGCCCCGGGGGCCTGGTTGTCTAATCGAAGGGAAGTAAACGGCCCCAACGCAAGCCTGACTGCGAGACGTGCCCAAGGGAGGTAGGTCGAATGAAGAGGGTTGTGTGAGTTTTGCGCGGGCAGGCGGGATAACGGAGGAGGGAGGCCCGCGGCCGAGGCTCGGGCGGGCGGGGGGCAGGGAGGGGCGGGGTTCGCCGGCGCGCACTCCCAGGCAGGCCCCGCCCCCTCGGCCGGCTGTGCGCGCTGATTGGCCCCTGCCGGCCTCGCGCTCCCTCGCTCCGGGTTGGCGGGAGACCTTAGAGCGGGTACCGCTGCTGGCTAGCGACCGACGAGCAACCGTCTGAGGCCAGGAGCGCTGCGACGGAGCCTTGACCGCCGTTGCCCGGCCCTCTCCCGCGCAGCCCCGGGCTTCCGCAGGTACCTGTGCTCGCCCCCGGGAAGGGGCCTCGCAGGCGAATCTCCAGTTTCGAGTGTGCCCGGTCCCTGGGTTCGCTCGCCGGCGACCCCACCGCCCGCCTTAGATGAGAAGGCAGCGCTCCAGCCTCGTCCTCACGCCGCCTCCCGTGGGCGCCCTCAGCTGCCTTCGCGGCGACGACACACGCGCTCCCCGCAGCGGGCTCTGGGCTGAGGGACCTGGCGAGGGAGGCAGTGGCCGCGCAGGTTGGGGCTTTGGCCGCCCTCCGCCCGGCGGCGTAGCGGGTGAAGGTTCCAGGGGAAGGACGGGCAGGGCCGATACCGGAGGCTGCTCCCGAAGCTCGGCCGTCTGCTCGGAGGGAGGGCCCTGGGCAGGCGCTCCCGTCTCCACGTGTGCCTGCCGCCTTTATTGTGGGAGGAATGGAGATTTGGGGGGTCTTTTTGATAAATCCTACCTCCTTATGTCCCATTAAACACCTCTTTTTGTCCCCAAGATCGTCTGCCCCAGAATTTTGAGATCTGAGCTGCTGTGTCTCAGTACCAGGCCCGTAGCTCATTTCTCAGAATTCACGAAGATTCTCTTACATGACATCCAGTAGGACTGGAGGGCCCCTAGCCTCAATCTTTTAAAAAGCCTTATGCCGAGTTGGGCGAATCCTTGAGGCCAGGATTCGAGAGCAGCCCACAGCGAAAACCCCGTCTCTACAAAAAAATAATGAAAAAAAAAATTAACCGGGCATGGTGGTGCGCACTTGTAATCCCAGCTACTTGGGAGGCTGAGGCGGGAGAATCGCTTGAACCCTGGAAGCGGAGGTTGCAGTGAGCTAAAACCCGTCTCTACAAAAAATAACTTAAAAAAAAAGTATCCTGGCATGGTGGCGGGCGCCTGTAATCCCAGCTCCTCGGGAGGCTGAGGCGGGAGAATCGCTTGAACCCGGGAGGCAGAGGTGGCAGTGATCCGAGATCGCCTTATAGCTGGGGTTAGCTGGTTTTGTTTTCTTGGCAAGGTGACGATAAGTAATACTGGAGTGCTTACTATGTGTCAAGTGTTTTACACATGATTTTATTTAATATTTAAAACTGATTTACTGGTTAAAGAATATGGGACTTTGATGTCAGTTCTGCATTCAAATTCTAGCTTTATCACTTACTATGAGCCTTTGGGAAATTTCTTAACTTCTTTAAGCCTCAAATTTCTTATCTAGAAAATAAGGATAAAATAATACCTACCACACAGAGATGTTTTGAGAATTAAATGAGATAATGCATGTAACACATTCATCAGTGTCTGGCACATATTCTCTGTGTGTGACTGCATTCATAAGGAAGTTAAGGCTTACTTGCCTGTCCTGACTGAGTTGCCAATGGATATTGCTATTAGGTTTTTCATATAGGCAAATGAATCCCCAGACAACTTCTGCTTGTTTCATATTATGGCTGGGAACCACCACCCTTTATATCACCCCCCAGAGAAGAGGTTATTTCAGATGCCTCTAGAATTTTTGTGATTTACTTACCAAAAAAAAAAGAAAGAAAGAAAGAAAGAAAATCCCAAACATCCTATTCAAGTATGAATCCTGGTATGATTTTTTTAATGTTCATGGAGTCCATATAAAAATTCACTGAAGGAGGCCGAGCATGGTGTCTCACGCCTGTAATCCCAGCGCTTTGGGAGGCCGAGGCGGGCCGATCACCTCAGGTCAGGAGTTGGAGACCAGCCTGGCCAACATGGCGAAACCCCATCTCTACTGAAAATACGAAAATTAGCGGGGCGTGGTGGCAGGCTCCTGTAATCCCAACTACTCAGGAGGCTGAGGCTGGAGAATCGCTTGAACCCAGGAGGCGGAGGTTGCAGTGAGCCGAGATCGAGCCATTGCACTCCAGCCTGGGCGACAAGAGCGAAACTCCGTCTCAAAAAAAAAAAAAAAAAAAAAATTAAAGGATTTTACCTGATGAGCACAGTTTCTCCTACTTCTCCTTCTTTCCCTATCTCTTGCAGTTCCTAAAATGGCTCATATTTTTAATTTGGTTTTCGTTCCTTTCCTCTTGCTTGCTCTATAAGAACTCTCATTCTCTTAGTATATCTAAGTGAAGAGCAAAATTAAAAGATACCCTTAGGTAGAAATTGACCAAGACTAGCATTGATAGCTTCTCTCCTTCAGCTTGTTGTATGTACCTTTTCTGCCAGTGTTTGCTTATTAAAGACAATGAAGCTCCACTTGGGGAATTTCAGACATTTTCTTCTCATTCAGTTTTCTGAAATTGTATGGGAAATATCCCAACACATACATAAGGGTTTAGAGGAATAGTGTAAAGACGCCTACTGTGGATATATTTTACCTTTTTGATTGATAGAAAATTTGCATTATATTTTATGATATATCCATGGTTGTTTTAATATAAAAGCACTATTTTAGGTTACTTAGCATTGAGTAAAACTTATCTTCTGGAATATGTGCCACAGTTATTTTGTGTTCTGGTACATTCCACCCAAGTCTAGCCCCAACACTCAAATTTGAAGCAGAATTCTTAGCCACGGTACTATACCACTGATAACTCCATACTAGAATTTGAGAATCCTGAGTACTCTTTAGTTTCTTCTATCTAGATTTTTTTTTTTTTTTTGAGACGGAGTCTTGCTCTGTTGCCCAGGCTGGAGTGCAGTGGCATGATCTCGGCTCACTGCAACCTCCGCCTCCCGGGTTCAAGCAATTCTCCTGTCTCAGCCTCCCCAGTAGCTGGGACTACAGGCGCCTGCCACCATGCCCAGCTAATTTTTGTATTTTTAGTAGAGACGGGGTTTCACCATGTCGGTCAGGCTGGTCTCAAACTCCTGACCTCAGGTGATCCGCCCACCTCAGCCTCCCAAAGTGCTGGGATTACAGGCATGAGCCACTGCGCCCGGCTCTTCTATCTAGATTTAAGGCTGCTCTTACTTTGAAAAAAATATGCAGATGAGGCCTCCAGCTGTCTCCCAGATGAGGTGGGCAGGAAAGAGCAGAACGTTCTTACTCAAGTCTCAAGGCTCAATTTATCACCTACTCCTCTTTCTATGGAGTTTATAACCCGCACCCCAAGTACATAATTGCCTTCAATTTGGCAGGACTTTAGGATCTAGGAAGAAAGATGGGATGAGAGGAGCAATTAGATAAGTATATTCCTCTGCCTAGTTCTTCAAAATGTAGCCCTGTGCTATCTAATATGGTAGCCACTGGCCACTTGTGTCTATTAAACACTTGAAACTGAATAATTTAATTTTTACTTTAAAAACTGAAGGAGCATATTTTTCTCCTACAAATTACTTCATTTTTAAAAATAGGACTGCATTTCACTTTTACTGTTGAAAAATTAGTATCAGAACAGATTTGTATATAAGCATATTCATCTAAAGTAACAAAAAAAAGAAAAAAAGATTGAGATATGCTGTAAGAGGAAAATACGCAGCAGATTTCAAAGACTTAGAATGTGAACTATCTCACTGATTTTTATATTGATTACATGTTAAAATGGCCTTTTGGACATATTGGGTTACATAAACTTTATTATTAAAAGTAATTTTATCTGTTTTGTTTTGTAAGGTGGCTCTAAAAATACAAAATTACATATGTGGCTTACATTATATTGGACAGTGCTGTTCTAACCTCGCTAAATCCAATCTTATTTTCCAGTCCTTCCTTCAGAAGGGAAATTTCTGAGGGTCAGGAAGGGGAATCTGTACCTCACTCCTTGAACACCAAGGAAGGTATGGCTGCCTGAGTCACTGTGAGGTTGCATTCAGAGGTTCTCAGTAGGGTCCTAGAGTAGTTTCCTGTGTTGCCTATTCATACCTCAATTTCCCATTATCCTAGAAATATTTGACCACAAAAATAATACTAAGTGTAGTAATTATGTGAACTAATCACCACCAAAGAAGGTGATGATTATGTATATTGTTAAATATTGATAGATTAACTGTCTCAGATTTTATTAGATTATGACAACATACATTCATATACACTTATAATCAGTCACTCAAATAGCTTTGTCATACACTTACAACTTTAAAAATTAGAACAGGCCAGGCATGATGGCTCAAGCCCATAATTCCCACACTTTGGGAAGCTGAGGCGAGAGGATGGCTTAAGCTCAGCAGTTTGAGAGCAGCCTGGGCAACATAGTGAGACCTCATCTCTACAAAAATTTAAAAAATAAGCCAGATGTGGTGGCATACACCTGTGGTCCCAACTACAAGGGAAGCTAAGGAAGGAGGATCACTTGAGTCCAGGAGGTCGAGGCTGCAGTGAGCCGTAATCATGCCAACGTACTCCAGTCTGGGTGACAGAGCAAGACCCTGTCTGAAACACACACACACACACACACACACACACACACACACACACACACGAGAAAAAAAGGAAAACAGAAAAGTAAGTAAAATAAAAATTAGACCAATTTATGAAAAGCCTTCAAAGCACATCTACATTTTTTGCTAGAATTGCTTTCAACTTTTCAATAAATACCAATAAATGCTTATTGAATAAGTGAATTTTATAATATATCAAGGAATTTACCAATAAAGAGATATGGGGTTTTGTGGGAGGGGGGGTGCTTTGTAATTTAATACTTGATAATACATTCTGGAAATAGTTGTCCTTGTTTATAAAAAATTTGAGGTGGCATATAACAACAATATAATAAAATTATGTCAATTCAAGCAGAATAGAAAAAATTAGAAAATTAGCCGGAAAAAAGAAGACTACAAATAAATTATGAAGTCAGCATCATTTCTATAATTAACTTTCAAATTTGGTCGAGTTCTGCAGCCAAAGCAAAATGGCATACAGTATCTTCTTATTTGGGAAGAGGATGTCCGTTTGTTACCCAAAAGAAGCATAGCTTTTCCTAGCGCTGAATTTCAAAAGCAATTTTTAATGGGAGTCACTGTCACAAATAACATTTTAATGGCAAGTTTAGTAACATTTTATATGACTGCATATGGTAGTATCATCCAGTTAGTTGTTTATATATGAAATGAATGTGTGTGATGAATAATTGTATGTTTTATTTTTACAGGAATATTGGGAAACCAAAATGAGGCACAATCAGATGTGTTGTGAGACACCACCTACTGTCACTGTTTATGTAAAATCAGGGTCAAATAGATCACATCAGCCTAAAAAGCCCATTACTCTGAAGCGTCCTATTTGTAAAGATAATTGGCAAGCATTTGAAAAAAATACACATAATAACAACAAATCTAAACGCCCCAAAGGACCTTGTCTGGTTATACAGCGTCAGGATATGACTGCTTTCTTTAAATTATTTGGTAGGTTTAAAATATTGTAATAGTGGTAATTATAAAGTACTAAAAACCTAGAATGTAAACATCTAAATGTTTTTATTCTGATCAAAGAGGATATCATTATTTTTGTATTAAATTTCCCATCTCCAACCAAATTTGTTTTTGTTTTACTTAGTCTTTTTTTTTCAATGTTGGGTTTTTGTTTGTTTTGTTTCCTTATGGATTAAAAATTCATACTCATCTAGCTTCTAGACTACTTAAATCCAGATGTCAAATGTAAATTCTGGGCAATTCAACTTCATAGCCCATGGCATGAGTTTTATTTGACCTAAAATAAAATACTACATAAAGACTCAGGTGAGCTAACTGACCCAGTTTGACTGGGCCTAAGGGGTTTCCCAGGACTTTCTCTGCTAAACCCAAGAAAACTAGGAAGCTTGGTCACACTAGAGAAGTTTCAGGATAACAGTTTGGGAACATTGTTAAAAATTAACTATGCTTTATCATGTCCATATAATGAAACTGAGTTTGAATTTGTTTAGGTTATGAGACAGTGCTACTTTGCTGATAATTTCTTAACATTGGCAAAAAGAAACTTCTTTATAGTACTGTACTCCTAACTAGGAAAGAGAGGGAATTTTTTTTTTTTGAGGTAGGGTAATAAGGTAAACAGATTAGAAAAAGGGGTAGGATAGATGAGTTCTGAAAAATATTTGGAGTAATGAATCAAGTCAAGTAGATGCTACAGTCTGGTAGATTGTAGCTTGCTTGTTTCTAGAGGAAGGTCAGGCGCATTAAAGCAAGCTAGTTACGATTTAAAGAAAAGCAAAATGAAAAGATGAAACAGGAAAAAATGTAAGGAATATAAGTAGAAAAAGATATAAAGATGCTTCCCCATCAGATTTAGAATGTTAATAAAAGTTCCCCTTCTTTTCATTAAGAGCAGAACAAAATTATTACCTGCAAACTTTTTTAGTACCCAAAACTCATCATCAGAAACACGGGAAAATACCTGGCTGTACCATTTTAGGTAACTTAAGAAATTATAAATAGAGCCTGGGCGCGGTGGCTCACGCCTGTAATCCCAGCACTTTGAGAGGCCAAGGCAGGCAGATCAGCTGAGGTCAGGAGTTCAAGACCAGCCTGACCAACATGGAGAAACCCTGTCTCTACTAAAAATATAAAATTAGCCGGGTGTGGTGGCACATGCCTGTAATCCCAGCTACTTGGGAGGCTGAGGCAGGAGAATCGCTTCAACCCGGGAGGTGGAGGTTGCGGTGAGCCGAGATCGCACCATTGCACTCCAGCCTGGGCAACAAGAGTGAAACTGTCTCAAAAAAAAAGAAAGAACTATAAATAGAATTAATGGGCCAGGCGCAGTGGCTCATTCCTGTAATCCCAGCACTTTAGGAGGCTGAAGGGGGCGGACCACTTGAGGCCAGGAGTTCGAGACCAGCCTGGCCAACATGGTGAAACCCCATCAGGCGTGGTGGTGCATGCCTGTAATCCCAGCTACTTGGGAGGCGGAGGCAGGAGAATCGCTTGAACCTGGGAGGTGGAGGCTACAGTTGAGCCGAGATCATGCCACTGCACTCCAGCCTGGGTGACAGAGCAAGACTCTGTCTCAAAAAAAAAAAAAAAAAAAAAAAAAAAGGCTGGATATGGTGGCTCATGCCTGTAATCCTAGCACTTTGGGAGGCCAAGGCAAGTGGATCGCTTGAGCTCAAGAGTTCAAGACCAGCCTGGGGCAACGTGGTGAAACCCCCTCTCTACAATACAAAAAAAAAAAAATTTATCTGGGCATGGTGGTGCATACCTGTAGTCCCAGCTATCTGGGGGGCTGAGGTGGGAGGATCTCAAACCCAGGAGGTTGAGGCTACAGTTGAGCCAAGATCACGCCACTGCACTCCAGCCTGGGTGACAAAGTGAGACCCTGTTTAAAAAAAGGAAAAAAAGTTAGCAAGGCAGAAATTCTTATTCTCAGGAAATCAGTAGTTATTCTTGGAACTTTCCGTATGACTACATTGATGATATTTTAGTGTACACAAATGAATATAAAGAAGTTATGCCTTTTTACTTAAAATGAAGAAGAGGAGCCTGGCGTGGTGGCATATGCACCTGTAGTTCCAGGTACTCAGGAGTCTGAAGCCAGAGGATCACTTGAGCCCAGAAGTTCAAGGCCCACCTGGGCAACATAGTGAGGCCCTGTCTCTTTAAAAAAAAAAAAAAAAAAAAAGAGAAAGAGAGAAAGGGGGAATGGAAAAACAGATTTTTCTAGATTACATTCTGACAACTATTAATGTATTTTGAGATTATATATTTTAGCCCTTTAGAATTGAAATATTTTACCTACTTTCTAGATGTTATTATTTTTAACAATGTGTTTGTTTGTTGATCTTTTTATCCTAATAGTTTTTTCAAAATGTTAATTATAAATAATGAATTATGAATCCTTTTTATATAGACATTTTCATATGTATTTGAGTAATAGAAAGTGGAATAGAGATAAATAGGAGAGAAGAATGCAAAACTAAAAATACTGTTGGATATTCAGTAAACCAAACACTTCTACCATTCTCCAATCTGAGCCATATGTTAAGGCAAATCAGATGGCTTGATGAAGGATAAAGCAGTAGTTTTTCGTACAGTCTTTGCAATGGTAAATACACCAAAGAACTGAAAACTCCACCTTAGGCAACACTGGTTCATTCATTTTTGTTTTATTTCTAAGCACCATGTATAATCTCTTGACATAGAAATTAATTCTTCAAAAGGAAACATTCTGTTTTTAAAAGACAAGTTATAGCTATCTTTTGTTGTAGATGACGATTTAATTCAAGATTTCTTGTGGATGGACTGCTGCTGTAAAATTGCAGACAAGGTAAATTTGGTAACAGTATAACAATTAACCAGCATTATAATGTAACTGAACCATTAGAGCTTTAATGAGACCTTATAAGAATTTTCTATCTTATTAGTTATGATTAAGAAAAGAGCTAGTGGCCAGGTGCAGTGGCTCACACCTGTAATCCCAAAACTTTGGGAGGCTGAGGTGGGTGGATCACTTGAAGCCAGGAGTTGGAGACCAGCCTGGGCAACATAGTGAGACCCCCATCTCTAAAAAATTTAAAAATTAGCCAAGTGTGGTGGCATGCACCTGTAGTTCCAGCCACCCAGCTGAGGTGGGAGGATCACTTGAACCCAGAAGTTGGAGGATACAGTGAGCTTTGATCAATTGTGCCACTGCATTCCAGCTTGGACAATAGAGCAAGACTCTGTCTCTAAACAAATTAATTAAATTTAAAAATTAAAAAAATAAGAGCTAGCCTGCACTGCTCCTTCAAAGCAGAAGCTTTACACATGAATTTCTGGAATTAGCATATAGCATAGATTCAGTCTATACTTAAGGAATTGTAGAATATTATTGATTACATTTAAATGACCTTAAATTTGTATTTGATTGAAAACAGAAATCAAAACAGGTGTGGCAGCTCATGCCTGTAATCCCAACACTGTGGAAGGCCAAGGCGAGAGGATCACTTAAGCCCAGGAGTTCCAAGACCAGCCTTGGCAACATAGGGAGACCTGGTCTCTTAAAAAAAAAAAAAAAAAAAAAAAAAAAAAATATATATATATATATATATATATATATATATATATATATATATATATATATATTTTATCCTGAGGCAGGAGGATTGCTTGAGCCAGGGAGATCAAGGCTGCAGTGAGCTGTGGTACCACCACTGCACTCCAGCCTGGGTGACAGAGCCAGACCCTGTCTCAAAAACGAACAAAAACCAAAGAACCACAAACAGAAAATCAGTATAGACTTAATACATTTTGATCAGTTATTACCTTTTATCAGGCTGTGGAGAAAAAATATTCTGAGATTTACTTTACTAAGGTAGTCTGCATTTTAGTATTTTGTAAGTCAGAGAAAACAAATCTCAGTAATTTGTAGGGTAAAATTAGTTTAACATGTTGTTTAGGAATCAGTGTTTCATAAAAGAATGTCTGACTTACACACTGGGAGCAGCGATGTTTCTATATTCTTTAGATTTTGTTGAATGGTTAAAATTTCAGCTTTGTCGCTCATACCTGTGATCCTAGCGCTTGGGATGCTGAGGCGGGCAGATCACCTGAAGTCAGGAGTTCAAGACCAGCCTGGCCAACATGGAGAAACCCTGTCTCTACTAAAAATACAAAAATTAGCCAGGTGTGGTGGTGCGCACCCATAGTCCCAGCTACTCGGGAGGCTGAGACAGGAGAATTGCTTGATCCCAGAAGGCAGAGGTTGCAGTGAGCCGAGACCGAGCCACTGCACTCCAGCCTGGGCGACAGATCGAGACTCTGTCTCAAAAAAATAATAATAATAAAATAAAATTTCAGCTTTGTATTTTTCAATTTTTTTCTTTTAGAAAAATATTTCTCGTGCTAAGAATTTTCAGCTTTGTAAATGCCATTTTGTACCAAGCAGTCATATTTGAAAATTAAGCGTGACTTTACATCACTACTAGCCAACAGTAAAGGGAATGAGTGGAAGGTTAGCTTGTGATTAAATACAAAGTACTGGGGTGAAGATTTTTATTTAAGCTTAAGATGACAGGGATACACTAGAAGAAGGTTTATAAAATTTTTTAAATTTCATTTTGGAAAATTTAAAACATACACAATTTGAAGTAAATAGAATAGAACAAAGAGCCTCCATATGCATCTCATCTAGCTACAATAGATCAACTGTGGCTGTTCTTGTTTCTTCTAATGCCTCTCACCAAAAACGATTATTTTGAAGCTGATCCCAGACATCCTAACATTTTATCCATAAATATTTCACAATATATCACTAAAAGTTAAGAGCTGTTTTAAAACAATTACAATGTCATAGAACTTTTAAAATTAACAGTAATGCTGTAATATCAAATATACAATTCATGTGGAGTTATGATGTGATTTTTTTTTTTTCTTTTTCTTTTTTTTTTTTTTTTTTTTGAGATGGAGTCTCACTCTGTCATCCAGGCTGGAGTGCAGTGGCGTGATCTCAGCTCACTGCAACCTCCGCCTCCCGGGTTCAAGCAATTCTCCTGCCTCAGCCTCCCAAATGTCTGGGATTACAGGCATGTGCCACCACGCCCGGCTAATTTTTCTGTATTTTTAGTAGAGATGGGGGTTTTACCATATTGGCCAGCCTGGTCTTGAACTCCTGACCTTGTGATCCACCCGCCTCGACCTCCCAAAGTGCTGGGATTACAGGTGTGAGCCACTGCGCCCGTCAGGAAGTTTTAAACTTTATGGTTTTAAGGTGCAGTAAAGTTGTTGTGCAGAAGGGGGCAGTGTTGGAAAAGTAACTACCTGGAGTACTGTCTTAACACGATCTCAAGAGTACTTTACTGGAAGTTACTGTGAAAACTTGGTATCACCTTTGTGGCAAATCCTGTTACAATAGGATGAATAAATGTCTTACGAGAGATAATCTGATACATTATTATAACTTGTTTTTAATTTGAACAGACAGAACCTGGCATATGTGCTAATAATCAGGCTAGAGATGTATCTTTCTAATAATACATTTAAAACACATTCTCCCCATGAAAATACAGCCATGTTATTCTAATTTCTGAAGTCATTTGGAAATCATTTTAAAAAGTTATTTTAAAAAGTGAGTATGGATGTCTGTAACTAAAAGGGTTTAGAAAAATTATATATACACATACATACACACAAATAGAGATAGCAAACATGGCAAATTTGGTGCATCTAAGTGAGGATGCATGGCTGTTCATTTTGCTGTTATTTCAGTTTCTGTATAGGTTTGAAATTTAAATTAGATAAAAGTGGGATTTTAGCTCAAACTATTGGCAATAATAAAATTTAGGAGTCCATTCTAGTTTATAATGATATAATAAATAGTCAAGAATTACTTTTCACTGTTCACATGGTGGATTACAGGAATCCAAAAATTAAGTACACAATTCTATAATAAGTAACACTTTATTGTTTTAGCTTATTCATCAGAAAATTTTAAAGTTAACTATTTTAAAGCAGTTTTATTTATGAAAGCAAAACATTAATATTAATTTTTAACTTTTTTCCTTATAGTATCTTTTGGCTATGACCTTTGTTTATTTCAAGAGGGCTAAATTTACTATAAGTGAGCATACCAGGATAAATTTCTTTATTGCTCTGTAAGTATACTTTCTACTAAGTGATTGTTGTGTTATCTATTATATACATTACACCTTATTTAAAACAGAGGCTATTTAAAACCTTATGTATATCTTTGAATAGGCCTTCCTGTATAAATGCTGTATGTTTTTTACTTTAATAGGATATTTTTATGTTTTTTTCACTTATCATGCTATATGCCTAAGATTTCCTTTTTTATTTATTTATTTATTTTTGAGAAGGAATCTCGCTGTGTTGCCAGGCTGGAGTGCAGTGGCACAATCCTGACTCACTGCAACCTCTGACTCCCTGGTTCAAGTGATTATCCTGCCTCAGCCTCCCAAGTAGCTGAGATTACAGCCACGTGCCACCACGCTCAGCTAATTTTTGTATTTTTAGTAGAGACGGGGTTTCACCATGTTGGCCAGGATGGTCTTGATCTCCTGACCTCGTGATCTGCCCGCCTCGGCCTTCCAAGGTGCTGGGATTACAGGTGTGAGCCACTGCGCCTGGCCAAGATTTCTTGGAGTATTCCTCTTCAATTTGTATTGCATGTTTTACATTTTTCAGAATGCTTCCATATAAATTATCCCAAATTCTCCTCTTTGTGACTTAGATATTTTTTAAAACCAGAATATTCTCTGAAATTTTCAATTAATATATAGTAAAAATCACCATCATCATTGCCCTTTTACATTGAACAACTTGTGGAAAATGCTCTAAACATAGTCTTTGTGGACCTATATCTATAACATAGTCATTATTCGTATTTGATACCATTGGTATTCACTGGCTCTTTTACTAAACACACTGAGCTGTGACAAAGGAATACAGTTGTTTTCCAGTTCTTCCACTGACTTTAGTTTATATTCATTGTGATCTGTGAAATGGTTTTCCAATCTATAGGTCAGAATACATTTGGAATTTGCATTATTTAAGAATATGTTTCTGGCCAGGCACGGTGGCTCACGCCTGTAATCCCAACACTTTGGGAGGCCGAGGCGGGTGGATCATCTGAGGTCAGGAGTTCGATACCAGCCTGGCCAACATGGTTGAAAGCCTGTCTCTACTAAAAATACACAAGTTAGCTGGGCGTGGTGGTGGGCACCTATAATCCCAGCTACTCGGTAGGCTGAGGCAGGAGAATCGCTTGAACCCGGGAGGTGGAGGTTGCAGTGAGCCGAAATCACACCACTGCACTCCAGCCTGGGAGACAGAGCAAGACTCCGTCTCAGGAAAGAAAAAAAAAAAAAGAGTATATTTCCTTTTCTACCCTATAGCTGGATATAATGCTGTAGTTGGGAATGCATGAATATATATATATATATATATATATATATATATATATATATATAAAATTTTTTTTTTTTTTTGAGATGGAGTCTCACTCTGTCACCCAGGCTGGAGTGCAGTGGCGTGATCTTGGCTCACTGCAACCTCTGCCTCCCGGGTTCAAGCAATTCTCCTGCCTCAGCTTCCCAAGTAGCTGGGATTACAGGCTCCCACCACCACGCCCAACTAATTTTTTGTGTTTTTAGTAGAGATGAGGTTTTACCACGTTGGCCAGGCTGGTCTCGAACTCCTGACCTCAAGTGATCCGCCTGCCTCAGCCTCCCAAAGTGCTAGGATTACAGGCGTGAGCCACCGCGCCCAGCCATATGAATATAATTTTAAGTGTTTACCTAGAGAACACATATAAAAAATATTTAAGTTGAATACCACAATAGCTGTCAGCACTGAAGGTAAAGTTTTTACTCAAAGTGTATTTAATTCAGAATCAAAGAGTTATTAAAGAAATAGGACTAGGCTGGGTACAGTGGCTTACGCCTGTAATCCCAGCACTTTGGGAGGCTGGGGCGGAAGGATTGCTTCAGGCTGGAAGTCCAAGACCAGCCTGGACAACATAGTAAGTCTCTACACAAATAAAAATAAAAAAATTAGCCAGGCATGGTGGCATGTGCCTGTAGTGCCAGCTACTTGGGAGGCTGAGATGAAGAGGATCACTTGAGCCCAGGAGTTCAAGGCTGCAGTGAGCTATGATCACCACTATACTCCAGCCTGGGCAACAGAGCAAGATGCTGTCAGGAGAAAAAAAAAAAAACAAAAAAAAAAAACAGGACTAGAAGAAACTGATTTCTTTTTTCTTTTTCTTTTCTTTCTTTCTTTTTTTTTTTGTGACAGAGTCTCTCTCTGTTGCCCAGGCTGGAGTGCAGTGGCATTATCTCAGCTTGCTGCAACCTCCACCTCCCAGGTTCAAGCAATTCTCCTGCCTCAGCCTCCTGAATAGCTGGAACTACAGGCGCATGCCACCACGCCCGGCTAATTTTTTTTTGTATTTTTAGTAGAGATGGGGTTTCACTGTGTTAGCCAGGATGGTCTTGATCTCCTGACCTCATGATACACCTGCTTCGGCCTCCCAAAGTGCTAGGATTACAGGCGTGAGCCACCGCGCCCAGCCAAAGAAACTGATTTCTACTTGTATTCAGGAGATATATTTTCCAGTGCACAGGGAAAAATGAACTCAAAATTTAGGATGATTGCTAAATATAATAGTATTAGGTAATACTGAGTACTATGTGCAAGGCACCACAAAAAATTTTAATGTAGTATTAACTCATTTAATTTTCCCTATGAAATAAATTTTTTATTATCCCCATTTTACAGATGAGGAAACTGAGAGGAAGATTAAGTACTTTCTAAGAACAAACAAGTTAGTAAGCAGCAAAGCAGGGGCACAAACTCAGGAGTGGTTATCAATGACCAAATTCAGCCATCAACCACTAAGTTAAATTGCTGTTTATATATCTCAGTATTGTATTGTATCTATGTTGATGCAATATTTATTTTGTGTTTTTTTTTTACCTGAGAATTAAAAACAAACCAAAAGAAGCTTTAGTTTAAATCTTACTAGATGCCTGAAATTGAATTCGTTTAACTTGTTTTATAAAGTTATTACCAGTAGAGCACTATTGAGTTTATGCAATACAATTATCTGTAAGGTTGTACTGCATGTTGTATTATGTAAGCTCCATATTAAAAATAACATGAATTATAATTTCCATTTTAAGACTAATCATACTTTTTGTATGGCCTCAATAGTTCTCCTCGTTAAATATTTTCTCAGCCATAGTTCTAAAGCTCAAGTTCTTTTCCTTTCTATACAGTCTTATAATGTTTCCTTTCTATGTATTCTTATAAGACTCTGAACTTCTATTATCATTCTTCCACATTACCTTTCACAATTATTTGTTTCATGCTTACTTGCCTTCTTTACTTAATTGTAGGCTCCTTATGGGCAAGGAACATATAACATTTTATTTCATCTTTCAATTACTAACATATAGGAGGTTCTTAATTTTTTTTTTGAGACAGGGTCTCACTCTGTCACCCAGGCTGGAGTGCAGCAGCATGATCTTGGCTCACTGCAACCTCTACCTCTAGGGTTAAAGTGATCTTCTTGCCTCAGCCTCCTGAGTAGCTGGGACCACAGGCACATAGCACGACACCCGGCTAATTTTTTATTTTTTATTTTTTTTTAAAGATGGAGTTTTGCCATGTTGCCCAGACTGGTCTCAAACTCCTGACTTCAAGCCATCCTTCCCAAAGTGCTGGAATTACAGGCATGAGCTGCACACCTGGCCTTCTGGCTGCTTTTAAGACCTCTTTTTCTTTGGTGTTTGGCACTGGTTTCTTTTTAATAACTTACTTGGGATTTGGTAACCTTTCTGAAGATTAAGGATTGATGTTTTTCGTTTTTGTTTTTTGAGATGGAGTCTTGCTCTGTCACCCAGGCTGGAGTGCATTGGCACCATCTTGGCTCACTGCAACCTCTGCCACCCAGGTTTAAGCAATCCTTCCACCTCAATCTCCCAAGTAGCTGGGACTACAGGCACAGACCACCATGCCTGGTTAACTTTTGTATTTTTAGTAGAGACAGGGTTTCACCATATTGGCCAAGCTGGCCTCAAACTCCTGACCTCAGGTAATCCACCCGCCTAAGCCTCCCAAAGTACTGGGATTACAGACGTGAGCCACTGAGCCTGGCCTGAAGATTGATGCCTTTCAACAGACAACTCAGAAAATTCTATCCACTGTCTCTTCAAATATTTCTCTTCCTCTGCTATCTCCTTTTTCTCCTTTTGAAACCAATTAAACTTGTTATGCCTCGCTCGGTCTTCCCCATCACTTATCTTTGAAATTTTCTTTTTCTTTCTTTCTCTCTTTTTTTTTTTTTTTTTTTTTTTTTGAGACAGTCTAACTGTTGCCCAGGCTGGAGTGCAGTGGTGTGATCTCAGCTCACTGCGATCTCCACCTCCCTGGATCAAGGGATCCTCCCACCTCAATCTCCCGAATAGCTGGGACCACAGGCATTCACCACAACACCCAGCTAATTTTTGTATTTTTTTGTAGAGATGGGGTTTCTCCATGTTGCCCAGGCTGGGTTTCGAACTCCTCAGCTCAAGCACTCCACCTGCCTCAGCCTTCTAAAGTGTTGGGATTACAGGTGTGAGCCACTGGACCCATCCCCATCTTTGCTATTTTCTTTTTTCTTTTCTTTCTTTTTTTTTTTTTTTTTTTTAAGAAGGAGTCTCGCTCTGTCGCCCAAGCTGGAGTGCTCGGCTCACTGCAAGCTCCGCCTCCGGGTTCACGCCATTCTCCTGCCTCAGCCTCCCGAGTAGCTGGGACTACTGGCGCCCGCCACCACGCCTGGCTAATTTGTTTGTATTTTTTAGTAGAGACGGGGTTTCACCGTGTTAGCCAGGATGGTCTCAATCTCCTGACTTCGTGATCCACCCGCCTCAGCCTCCCAAAGTGCTGGGATTACAGGCGTGAGCCACCGAGCCGGGCCAATCTTTGCTATTTTCTATCTGTGTTTCTTTGGGCTGCATTTTAGATCATTTATTTAGACTTATCTCTCAGTTCACTAATTTTATCTTCAGCTTATGTCTAATATGCTAATTTCATTATAAAATTTTCCATTTATAAAAGTTCTATTTTCTTCTTTTTCAAATATACTTTTCCATGTATCGTATTATCTTTACTGGAAATAGTTATTCTTACTTTCTGTGTCTGTTCCATTACTTTCAGATTTCAGGGTCTGTTACTGTTCTTGGTACCTTGTTCCCTTATGTGTTTTGTAATATTTTTATTGTAAGTTGCCTGTTTTTCTTGGAAAGTCATCTGTGAGACTTGTACTATTTCCAATGAGAAATCTACCCCATCCTAATCATGGTGCCTGTGTTATCTAATGGTTTTTTTTTCTCTGAGTACTTTTAAGATTTACTCTTTATCACTGGTTTTGAGCAATTTGATTGTGGTGTTCACTGGTTTAATTTTCTTCATGTTTCATGTGCTTTGAGGTTCATTGAACTTCTTTGTAGGTTTATAGTTTTTATTAAATTTCAAAAACTTTCAGCTGTTACTCCTTCAAATGTCTTCTGTCCACCTCATTTTCTGTCTGCCCTATTCAGATTACAGTGCATTGAAAGAATCCTTCATTGTTATTGATACTGGCCTTCAGAGTCTCCAATTCCGCCTGTTTCTTGAAGTCCCACATCAAACTGATGCTGTGTTTATTTTTTCTTATTTTTTTCTTTTTTCTTTTTTCTTTTTGAGACAGAGTCTCCCCGTCACCCAGGCTGGAGTGCAGTGTTGCAATCTCGGTGGCTCACTGTAACCTCTGCCTTCCGGGTTCAAGCGATTCTCCTGCCTCAGCCTCCCAAGTAGCTGGGATTACAGGCGCAGGCCACCACGCCCAGCTAATGTTTGTATTTTTAGGAGAGATGGGGTTTCACTGTGTTGGCCAGGCAGATCTTGAACTCCTGGCCTCAAGCAATCCGCCCACCTTGGCCTCCCAAAGTTCTGAGATTACAGGAGTGAGCCACCACGCCCGGCCCTCATCTTGTGTTTATGATTTTTGTTTCTTTTTTCTCTGTGTATTTCATCTTGAATACTTTCTATTGTGTCTTCAATTCACAGATGTTTTCTCTGTAATATTTAATCTGCCATTAATCCCAATCAGTGTATTTTTCATTGTACACATTGTAGTTTTCATCTCTAAAAGTACATTTTCAATATGTCTACTTAACTTTTTGAACATACAGAATAGTTATAACTGTTCCAGTGTCCTTATCTTTTATGTCAACCATGGGTATCAGTTTGGGGTTGATTTTGATTAGTCGCCTTATGATGAGTCATGTTTTCCTGCTTCTGTGCATGCCTGGTCCCCATCAAGCATTCAGCAGAATGCTGAGTTTCATATGTGTATAAGAAAATTACCTGAATCTGAGGAAAGATGTTAAGAAAAGATTAGGAGGAATACTGCCTAACATTCACATACGGCTGCAAATAGTGGCTGTTCCCACCAGCCAGGCTGAAAAGATTCATAATTCATGGAGCATTGAGAAGAGTACTCAGGAAGGTCTTGCCTCAGTAGTGAGGAATAACTAGCCCCAGACTGAACATTGTTCCAGATCCACCTAAAAAAATCATAAAAGCAACATCTGAAAGAATCAGACTATTTCAAAGTAACTAACTGCATCCCAGAACAAAGCTCAAGATTTGTAGGAATAAGAAATACCTAGAACCCAACAAGGTAAAATTAACTACATGTATCTCTATTTTTGAACTGCATTTCTTTAATTAACGTTGAACACCTTTCATGTGTTTATAAACCACTTTTATGTCTTGGTGTATGTGAACTACCTGTTTCTGTCCTTTACCCATTTCTTTTTTGGGTTGTGATCTTCTTTGTTAGGTATCTGGCTAATACAGTTGAAGAAGATGAAGAAGAAACCAAGTACGAAATTTTTCCATGGGCTTTAGGGAAAAACTGGAGAAAATTGTTCCCTAATTTCTTAAAGTTAAGGGACCAGCTCTGGGATAGAATTGACTATAGGGCTATTGTAAGCAGGCGATGTTGTGAGGAGGTAAGAATTTTAAAATGCTTTATATATGTAATCTTTGTTTTCTGTTTATCTTATTATCCTTGTTTTTTAATGTGCTTCTAATGTTTTGGTATTCTGGGTTTTTTTTTTTTTTCTAATATGTGGAGTAGACCATTGATCATTACCATGAATACAACTTGTGTATTACAATGTTGCTGTCTTATTATCACCATAACTAAAAACTGTCAACCGGGCAAGCCCTGCTCACGCCTGTAATCCCAGCACTTTGAGAGGCTGAGGCGGGTGGATCTCCTGAGGTCAGGAGTTTGAGACCAGCCTGGCCAACATGGTGAAACCCCATTTCTACTGAAAATACAAAAATTAGGCTGGGTGCGGTGGCTCACGCCTGTAATGCCAGCACTTTGGGAGGCCGAGGCGGGCAGATCACGAGGTCAGGAGATCAAGACCATCCTGGCCAACATGGTGAAACCCGTCTCTACTAAAAATACAAAAAAAATTAGCCGGGCGTGGTGGCAGGCGCCTGTAGTCCCAGCTACTTGGGAGGCTGAGGCAGGAGAATGGTGTGAACCCAGGAGGCGGAGCTTGCAGTGAGCAGAGATCGCGCCACTGCACTCCAGCCTGGGCGACAGAGCGAGACTCCATCTCAAAAAAAAAAAAAAAAGAAAAGAAAAGAAAAAGAAAAATACAAAAATTAACCAAATGTGGTGGCTGGTGCCTGTAATCCCAGCTACTTGGGAGGCTGAGGCAGGAGAATCACTTAAACCCAGGAGGCAGAGGTTGCGGTGAGCTGAGATGGTGCCACTGTACTCCAGCCTGGGCAACAGAGCGAAACTCCATCTCAAAAACAAACAAACAAATTGTCATTTCTATTTTTCAGAGCAGCCTACTTCTATAGTAAGTACTTTTTTTTTTTTTTTTTTTTTGAGACAGAGTCTTGCTCTGTCACCCAGGCTGGAGTGCAGTGGTGCGATCTCTGCTCACTACAAGCTCCGCCTCCCGGGTCCACGCCATTCTCTTGCCTCAGCCTCCCAATTAGCTGGGACTACAGGCGCCCGCCACCATGCCTGGCTAATGTTTTGTATTTTTAGTAGAGACGGGGTTTCGCCGTGTTAGCCAGGATAGTGTCAATCTCCTGACCTTGTGATCCGCCCGCCTCGGCCTCCCAAAGTGCTGGGAGTACAGGCGTGAGCCACCGTGCCCGGCTTATAGTAAGTACTTTTATTTTAGTGTATTTCTTCTGTCTAAAGGATCATCAATATATTGAAAAAGGGTGATATGAACAAACCAAAATATCTTATTTAGGATTACAATAACACTGGAGTTGAATAATAATTTCTGCTCAATAAAGTATGTGAAATTTCAGGTTCCCAAAATTGAAACACTATTTAACACATATATTAAATGGTATACAATTTAAATATTCTTTAAAATCATAACTCTTTTCACAAAGAATATATTGTTTCCTTAATGCCAAATCTTTTAGGATAAATCAGCAAGACACTAAAAATTTAATAATCAGTTATTTTACCAAATGTTCTGGTTTTTAATAAAGTCACTATTTCAAACCACAGAAAAATTCTAGAGTAGAAAATTAAATGGAAAGCAGTGGTCACTGTAAGCTCTAGTATTAGTTAAGAAAAATTTGATAAATGTTGATATACTTGCAAATCTTAAGATTTGATAGAATTAACTTATTCATTAATATACATTGATTTAGTGAGCACTTAGTAAATACATACCAGAAACTATATTATTTCTTTTAATTTAAAAAGGGCAGGCAGGCATGGTAGCTCACACCTGTAATCCCAGCACTTTTGGAGGCTAAGGTGGCCTGGATCACTTGAGTCCAAGAGTTCAAGACCATCCTGGGTAACATGGCAAAACACTGTCTCCACAAAAAATACAAAAAATTAGGTAGGCGTGGTGGTGCACACCTGTAGTCCCAGCTACTTGAGAGGCTGTGGTGTGAGAATCACCTGAGCCCAGAAGATTCAGGCTGCAGTGAGCCATGATTATGCCACTGCCCTCCAGCCTCAGCAACAGAGCAAGACCCTGTCCCAAAAAATAAAAATAAAAAAGGCTTGAAGCAAAAATAGCAGTATTACATCTATTAATTCTAGGCAGTAGGGATATGGATGTTTGTTATATTATTCCTAATGCTTTTTCATAATTTTAAAATTTAGCAACATTTAAAAAAATTAATGGAACTTGTTTTTCCTCTTCAAAAAGGTCACCTTATTTAAATGAATTTAATTCCATTATCCTTATCACAATACTTTGTTTCCTTCTGTAGCACTGAATAAAATTTGTAATTATTTATTTGCTTATCTATTGTCTAAACAATAAACTGTAAATGTAATGAAGTAAAAAATCTAGTACACTTCTAATATCTCCCATCTCTGTCCTCACACTTCAATTACAACAATCATGCATTACTCTCTTTTACTGAGAAAAGAGAAGCAGTAGAACAGACTGTCCACGTGCTCACATCTTATCGTCTATCCTACCTACATGCGTACCCCTATATTCTGCCTTCCCTTTGTTACTGTGAAAGAACGATCTTTGCTCCTATCCAAATCCATTCCCTCTACTTGTGCACTAGATCTCATCTTTTCTTGCTTTCTCAAGGACATCACATTCCAGTAATTGTCCCCTTTCCAGCATTTCACATTTTTTATTTTATTGGATCACTGCCATCAGAATGTAGAATTGCTCTAAGATATCCATCAATAAAAACAAAAACAAAAACTTTATCCCCCAGCTACCACTACATTTCTCTGCTTTGCCTCCCTTATAACCAAACTCCTTGAAGAATTGCTTGTATTCTATCTCTACTTCTGTTCTTTCCATTCTGTTTGAACCTGTTATATAAAGTATTTTTCCTATCATTCTGTAGAAACTTGTCAGGCCACCAAATATCTCTATATGGCCAAATCCCAAGGTTAATTTGTATTCCTCAATCTACTCAATTTAGCAGCATTTGACACTATCCCTCATTTCTTCCTGAAACACTGTCTTCACTTGGTTTTGAGGATACCAGGTTTTTTTCAGTCATTTTTGCCAGTTCCTTTTCACCTCACCAACTTCATTAGAGTGCCCCAGGGCTCAGACTTAGGATCTCTTCTCCTTTCTATTGGTATTAACTTATTAGGTGACCCCATTCACTCTCAAGGCTTTAACACTAACAACTAATAATTTCTTCCAATTCCAGATCTGCATACGAAATCGCCTGTTGGTATTTTTTGTCTAATTGATACCTCAAACTTAACGTGCCTAAAATTGAACTCCTGACTCCTTGACACAGACCTCCAGATTTGCTCCTCCTGCAGTCTTCCACATATTCATAAGTAGCAACTCTATTGTTTTAGTTGCTCAGGCCAAAAAATTATTTCCATTTACCCTTCTTTTTCTTATATTTGTACCTTGAAAAAATATCCAGCATCCTACCATTTCTCACCACCTCCACCACTAATACTATACTTTTATTGTCACCTCTTGCCTTGATTACTGGCATAAGTTTCCAAATAGTCTCTCCCACCCCCACCTTTTTTTTTTTTTTAAAGACAGGGTCTTACTCTGTTACCCAGGCAGTAGTGCAGTGGTGAGATCATGGCTCATTGCAGCCTTAACCTCCTAGACTCAAGCGATCTCCTGCCTTAGCCTCCCAAGTAGCTGGGACTACAGGCATGTGCCACCATGCCCAGCTAATTTATTTTTTGTAGAGATGGGGTCTCGCTATGTTGCCCAGGCCGGTCTCAAAATCCTGTGCCTAAGCAATCCTCCCACCTTGGCCTCCCAAAGTGCTGGGATTGCAGGTGTGAGCCACCATATGCAGCTATAATCTATTCTTCATACAGCTGCCAGAGTAATTTTTTTTTTAGGTAAGTCAAATCATGACTTCTCTACTCAAAAGCCTCCAGTGTCTTCCAGCCTTACATAGGGTAAAAGAGAAAGTCCCTGTCATGGTCCTACATGGTCTATCAGCCCTCCTCCCTTATCTCTTTGATTTCATCTCATATCTTTGCTCTTCCACTCAAGCTACACCGGCCTCCTTACCTCAAAGATACCAGTTACACTCCCATCTCATGGTCTTTGCACTTACTATTCCCATAACCTGGAATGTTGTTCCCCAAATATCAGTATGCTTCACTTCCTAACTACGTTCAGGATTCTGCTTAAATGTCACCTCAGAGAGACCTTTCCTTATCACCTTATATAGAGTAGTATCTCCCTCCATGGAATAGAAGTGTCCAGAAATATACCGTCACAATTATGTTCAATTGAATTTTGACAAGGGTGCCAAGAAAATTCAATGGGGAAAATGTAGTCTTTTCAACAAATGGTGCTATGACAACTGGATATCTACAAGCAAAAGAATGAAGCCGAACCTCTGGTTTATACCATATATAAAAATTAACTCAAAATGGATCAAAGACCTAAATGTAAAACCTAAAACCATAAAACTCTTAGAAGAAAACATAGGGGTAAGTCTTCGTGACCTTGAATTAGGTTTCTTAGACATGATACCAAAAGTAACATGTAACAAAAGAAAATATAAAATAGACATCATCAAAATTAAAACCTTTTGTCCTTCAAAGGATACCAAGTGAAGAGATGACCTATAAAATGAAAAAAATTTTTTGCAAGTCATCTATTTGATAAGGGTCTTGTATCTAGAAATATAAAGAGCTTTACAACTTAATAATAAAAAGACAATCAATTTAAAAAATGGGCAAATAATCCAAATAGACATTTCTCCAAAGAAGGTATGCAAATTGCTAAAACACACACACACACACACACACACACACACACACTTGAAAAGATGTTCAACATCATTAGCTGTCAGGGATTGCAAATCAAAAGCACGATGAGATATTACTTCACACCCACTATGATGGCTATAAACAAAACAAAAATAAAAGTATTGAAGAGGATGTGGAGATACTGGAACCCTCATACACTTCTTATGGAAATGTAAAATGGGGAAGTTGCTTTGCATAACAGTCTGGCAATTCCTCACAAGGTTAACATAGAGTTACCATATGATCCAGCAAGTCTAGTCCTGGCTATATATGCCAAAGGGTAAAAACAAAACTATGTCCACACAAAAAACTTTAACATGAATGTTCATAGCAGTATTCATAATAGCCAAAGTACAAACAACCTGAATGTCCATCAGCTGATAGAATGGATAAACAAAATAAGGTATATCCCTACAATAAAATATTACTTGGCAATTAAAAGGAATGAAGTACCTGGTTCAAGCTACAACGCAGATAACCTTGAAAAGATTATGCTACATAAAAGAAGCCTGTCACAAAGGACGACATATTGTATGATTCCATTTATATGAAAGGTCCAGAATGGACAAATTCAAAGACAGAAAGTAGATTAGTAGTTGTTATGGGCTGAGAGAAGGGAGAAAATGGAGTGTGATTGCTTTATATATAGAGTGATGAAAATGCTTCAAAATTGACCGTGGTTATGGTTGCTTAACTCTGAATATATTGAATATCATTGAATTGTACATTTCAATTGGGTGATTCTAAGGTATTTTAATTACATTTCAAAGCTGTTAAAATTAAAAGTAGTTCCTCCCACTATTACTCTGTATTCCCTTTCTCAGTTCCAATTTTCCTCATAGCACTCAACCATCATGTAACAGACTGCTTTTTACTTATTTATCTTGTTAATAAATTTCCTCCCACTAAAATACAGATTCCAAGAGAGCAGGGTCTTTATTTTGCATTTGTTTGTTTTGTTTTGTTTTTGTTTTTGAGACAGGGTCTCATTCTGTTACCCAGGCTGCCAGCTGCAGTGTGCAATCGTAGCTCACTGCAACCTTGAACTCCTGGGCTCAAGCAATCCTCCCACCTTGGCCTCCCAAAGTTCTGGGATTACAGATGTGAGCCATAGTGCCTGACCTTTTTTTTTTTTTTTTTAAGACAGAGTTTCATTCTGTCACCCAGGCTGGAGTGCAATGGCGTGATCTTGGCTCACTGCAACCTCCACCTCCTGGGTTCAAGCGATTCTCCTGCCTCGGCTTCCCAAGTAGCTAGGATTACAGCTGGGATTACAGGCATGCGCCACCACGCCCGGCTATTTTGTATTTTTAGTAGAGACAGGGTTTTCACCATGGTGGCCAGGCTGGTCTCAAACTCCTGATCTCAAGTGATCCACCTGCCTCAGCCTCCCAGAGTGCTGGGATTACAGGCATGAGCGCCCAGCCTTATTTTGTTCTTATTCTATCTCCAGAGCCTAGAACAGTGCCTGGCACATAGTGGGTAGTCAATAAATATTTGTTGACTGATCAAATGAATGGAACTTCCAATTCTTTTTCATACCTTCTTATCCATTAAATAGGGAAACAATAAACTATAAAATAATTATTCACTGAGCTCACTTTGCACTGCCGCTTACTCCAGTGGCAGATAGAGAAGCTGTTTTTTGGCTGTTCCAACAAGGTACATTTGAATCCTGTAGGCGTATAGAAAAGGTAACTGCCTAGTAGATTTTATCCTGTTCTGTTAAGTGTTCACTGGACAACTACTTTATGAATAACACACCAAGTTCAGTGCCCTGGGAGTTTATTGTAAAGAAGTATTATATCACCCCATTCCCATTCCTGAAATAGCAAGACATACTGTTGAAAATGTAACTGTTCTATACATTTGTTACTGAAAGCCTGGCATACTGCCAAACGAAACATTTCTTTAGTCCCATATCCTAAAATAACCTCAAGTTAAGATAGTAGCTACAAACTAGCTTATAATAATAATACTTTACATTTGCACAGTGCTTTACAAATTATGACTTTTACAGAAATTATCACACAAATAGCTGTGGGGGTGGTGGCATCCTCATTTCACAGCTAATGAAACTGAGGACCGAGGAGGCTGGGATTTACTCAAAATCATAGAAGTTGCAGAGCCAGAACATCTAATGACTTCCTAGTGTTCTCTTTTTTCTGTGACATCTAGCCTCCATATAAACCTCTCATATTGGTTAGTTTAGAAAATGCATTTATTTCTTGTCTTGGGAATTAAATAGCCGCAGTATTCCCTCCATTTCACAGATGCAAAAACTGTGGCTTAGTAAGATTGTGATTTGTCCATGGCCATGAAGTTAATAAGTAGCAGATACTAATAACTTAGTGCTCTTTGAATTATACACCACTGACATAAGAAAGAACATGTGCTGTCTTTTCAAATAGTGAGTTTTGTAATTGTCTCTTTTCTTTTTTTAATCTTGGCTGCAAAGAAGCTAAAAGCCAGGTATTATCCTTGACCACATCAACTCTATTACATTTTATTACTGGCATGTCTGCTTTCCCCTTTTAGTCGAAATTTCCCTTTTGGGTCTAAGCTCAATGAAATTTTTTCCCCTTTTTTCTCAGCTGCCTCATTCCTTTTTGGAAAGAGATGGGTTGTGATTAAATTGGAAAATATATATAGGGCTTCTCCAGAAAAGAGTGGACTATTTCTTTGTTTATTCTGATTTTATCTTCTTACCTGATGATCTTATCAACAACTCCTTTAAGGTGGGATTTATTTACATTGGTGATGGCTTAATTTCTAAACTGGTTCACACATTAGGGAGGATGCCTATCTAATGAGAGAGTTAGACTACACTTCCAGCCCCTTTCATGCATCATGGAGGGTAGCAATTTAATCAAGAAGTTTTTCTCTATTCCCGTTAATACTCTGGCCAAGATGCCACAATATCATCATAGCTGAGTTCTTCACTATCTATTACTTGATTCCAGATTAGGAATTTAGAAAGCAATGAGATAAGTAGTGTGTTTTGACAGAATAATCCAATGACAGTATGCAAAAGAGATCCAATATAGGGAATGTATTGGAAACTGCTAAACTTGCTATAGCTGGAAACAAGGTTGTGAAGAAAATTGATAGCAGTGCTGAAGAAAATGAAACAGATGTTAGAAATGTTAAAAAATTATAATTATCATTACCTGGTAACCAGTTGGATATAGGGTACATGGGAGAGGGAACTGTAAGTTTCAAATATATATAACAGGAAGAGTAATGGGTTCCATAATGGAAATAGGGAAGCCTACAGAAGCAAACTGGATTCTTTGGGAAGATAAGGAATTTGGTATATAGACATGAATGTAAGGCAGTAACTGGATATAATTAAATGAATGGTCAACAGGTATGGTAAAAGTCATTACGTATAAATGATGCTTCGAGTATTTAAGAGATTCAAGGTCAAAGTAATATTAATACTTTTTAAGAACTTTCCAGGCACTGTTCTAAGTATTGCCCATGTATTATTAACTCTCACAATTCTTAGATCTAGCTAGGTAATCCCAGATAAGAAACTAAGGAACAGAGAGGTTAAGTGACTTCTTCAAAGACACACAATAAGTAAAGCAGCACTCCAGTATTCAGGCCTAGGCAGTCTGACTCCAGAGTCAGTGCTTTTTTTTTTTTTTTTTTTTTTAATTTTTTCATGCCTATCCCTGTCTGCTCCCCATTCCTCCCCATTCTCCTCCCTGCCAGGGAGAGGAGAAGCTGACTGGGTTGGTTTTGACAGTCAGTGCTTTTAACACCTATATTATACTACCTCTTGAGATCACAGACAGGTAGAGTATATACACAGAAAAACAGAGGGCCAAGTATCAAATTTTAGGAACACTGACCCAAGGCACCCCCCAATCACTAAAAATGACAAAAGAATAAGATAAAGTAAAAAAGGGGGATGTTTCTAGTACATCAACTGCTACTAGTGTTTCAGAGAAGTCCGTTTCATAGAATCACAGCATTGGGGGACTGAAAGTGACCTATTTTCTCATATAAAAGACACCCTATGGCCCAGAAAGTTGTGTAATTTGCCCAAGGTCATAGAAGTAACGGATTTTTTTTTTTTTTTTTTTTTTGAGATAGTTTCACTGTTGTCACCCAGGCTGGAGTGTAATGGCAAGGTGTAAGCTCACTGCAACCTCCACCTCCCAGGTTCAAACGATTCTCCTGCCTTAGCCTCCCAAGTAGCTGGGATTATAGACATGCGCCACCATGCCCAACTAATTTTGTATTTTTAGTAGAGATGGGGTTTCACCATGTTGGCCAGGCTGGTCTCGAGCTCCTGGCCTCAAGTGATCCGCACACCTCAGCCTCCCAAAGTGCTGGGATTACAAGTGTGAGCCACTGCACCTGCCAGAGTAACAGAATTAAGATGAAAATCTAGCTCTCTTGACCCTGGTAGTTTTATTTTTAATTCACTTATCACAGTAAAATTCTAATTATATGATTATATGTGTATAAAATATATGTAGACATATTTAAAAATAACCATGATTGTGTATTTTCCTAGGTGGGTTAGTATGTGGAGAGACTATGATGAACTTATTGCAAAAATAACAGTTTTTGGCTGAGCGAGGTGGCTCACGCCTGTAATCCCAGAACTTTGGGAGGGCGAGGAGGGTGGATCACTTGAGGTCAGGCATTCAAGACCAGCCCGGCCAACATGGTGAAACCCTGTCTCTACTAAAAATACAAAAATTAGCTGGGCATGGTGGCAATTACAGGAGTGGGCCATTGCACCTGGACTTTCTAAATGTTTTGAAAATCACTGCTCTAGGCAATTAATAAGGCTCTGTCCAGCTCTCGAATGTTACAGTTCTCATTTACTTTGGGTCATTGATGACTGTAACTAAAGACTTTTGCTTAGAATGCTTAGAAGTTTTAGATTTCATGAGGTTAGCACATATGTACAGTTCCCCAGCTTGACTTAAATAATTGTCATTTGCCAGATCCTCACTATGTGATGATTTTACTCATCTAGTCCTCAGAATAATCCTGTGAAGTAGATGATATGCCCATTTTAGAGATGAAGAAATTGAGTCCCAGAAAAGTTAAATAACTTGCCCAGTATTATACAGCTAGCAAGTGGCAGTGCCAGGGTAAGAAACCAAGTGTACCCGGACTCTAAAGCCCATGTTTTATTTAACAAACCTTATAGAACAATGCCTGGAAGATAGTGAGGCTTTATAAATAATGCCTCATCTGATCCTCGCAGCAACCCTCTAAAATAGACATTTATTATCTCCATGCTGACAAAACTGAGGAACAGCGAGGTTAAATAACTTACCTATGTTCTTATTCACCATATCTCTTGTCATAATTGCAGACATTTTAAGATTACCATAACACACATAGCTGGGAACCTTAATTATTTTTATTTTTACTTTTATTTTTTGAGACGGAGTCTCTCTCTGTGGCCCAGGCTGGAGTGCAGTGACGCGATCTCGGCTCACTGCAAGCTCCGCCTCCCGGGTTCACGCCATTCTCCTGCCTCAGCCTCCTGAGTAGCTGGGACTACAGGCGCCCACAACCACGCCCGGCTAATTTTTTTGTATTTTTAGTAGAGACGGAGTTTCACCGTGTTAGACAGGATGGTCTTGATCTCCTGACTTTGTGATCCACCCGCATCGGCCTCCCAAAATGCTGGGATTACAGGCGTGAGCCACCGCGCCCGGCCAATTAACTTTTTTTAACCCAATACATTCCAAAGTTAAGAATCACATATTGTTTTGGAGTAACTGTATTATCTTTCCCAAACTTAGAATATTCAGAATTAAAAAATAAATACCCTGACAACCTGGAAGATTGCTTCAGTCCTATTTCCTGTTTAAAATAATTTACTTTGTCAATTATTGTCTTAAAGATCCAAGCAATGAGTCACTTTTTAGTAATATTGCCTTATCTGGAAGTGCTTTGTTTTTTAAATCAGCAATTTGGATTTTTATCTTCACTTTAGAGACAGTTGTTCTTGAGTTATAAGTTTTGAACTCAATTTTAGTAAATTTTGAAATATTACTAAAATTCTAAAAGTTAGCTTTCTATTATAGGTTATGGCCATTGCACCAACCCATTATATCTGGCAAAGAGAACGTTCTGTTCATCACAGTGGAGCTGTCAGAAACTACAACAGAGATGAAGTTCAGCTGCCCCGGGGACCTAGTGCCACACCAGTAGATTGTTCACTCTGTGGTAAAAAAAGAAGATATGTTAGACTGGGATTGTCTTCATCATCATCTTTATCCAGTCATACAGCAGGGGTGACAGAAAAACATTCTCAGGACTCATACAACTCACTGTCAATGGACATAATAGGTGATCCTTCTCAAGCTTATACTGGTTCTGAAGGTATGATTTAGTAATATGCCAGAATTAGATTTATGCATGTTGTTTACTGAGCTCTAGTCAGTCCTTTCTGGCGGGGATACATAATAATTTATATACTCCAACAATATGAGTTAAATTAATCTTGAAACTTTCTCCCCTTTCAGTTACTTTTTGTCTTGTGTCCATATTTGTTTTGTGGTGACCCACCTAAACAGATTTTTAATGTGACCTATGTTAAGTTGAAAACTAATGCACCATAAGCCTCAGTATTTTAAGAGCCTGAATCATTTTTTTGAAATGTTTATTTTATTCAAAAGGGTTTCAAGAAGAAAATAAATTTACTTGTAATCTCACCTTCCAACTATTGGTTTCCTTCTGTATACTTTTCTAACAAAATTAGAACCATACTATATATCTAGGCCTGCTTTTTTCATTTATCACGAAGTATTTTCCCATGTCATTATTGAGTCCTCCAAAACCAGTTTTTTTTTTTTTTTTTTTTTTGAAACAGAGTCTCACTTTGTCGCCCAGGCTGGAGTGCAGTGGGACAATCTTGGCTTACTGCAGCCTCCGCCTCCCAGGTTCGGGTGATTCTCATGCCTCAGCCTCCTAAGTATCTGGGATTACAGACATGTGCCACCATGCCCAGATAGTTTTTGTGTTTTTAGTAGTGAGGGATTTCACCATGTTGGCCAGGCCGGTCTCGAACTCCTGGCCTCAAGTGATCTGCCTTCCTCGGCCTCCTAAAATGCTGGGATTACGGACACGAGCTACCGCACCCAGGCCAAAACCTGATTTTTAATTCTGACATGGTATAAGTACCATAATTTCTTTATATATTTCATTTTGTTGGGATTTAAGTGGCTTTCAGCAATAGAGTATTAATTAGAAAAGAACCTTATTAGCTGAAAAAATACAACTGCACCATAATTTCACTCAAATTATTTTTATATATAGTATTATCTGACATTTCTTTTCTAGAAATGTCTAGAAATAGTACTAGAATAATATTCTACTATCAGTGATCCTTTTTACTTACAAAGCCTTCCAGATTTTCACCCATCTCAAGACAGGGTGGACAGATTTTTCATGGTCCTTTCTAATTCTATCATGAGAAATTAACACACCTGCATTATTTCAAAATTTTACCTATTTGTTTTTACCACAAAGATATTAATAGTGGCTACTGAAGCTTTACTAAAGGAGAAACTAGACTCTAAGATTCTTGAAGGTAGGGGTTATGCCTCAGTCATTGTTCCATTTCTTGGCCATAGTAATCACTCAACAAATTTGCACGACAGTATAGTCTCTTCCTTTTCAACACCTTCAGGCATATTTTTTATTATGCTGAGGCAAGAGGATCACTTGAGGCCAGGAGTTTGAGACCATCCTGGGCAACATAGCAAGACCCCATCTATTTAAAAAATTGTCTTTTAGCATCCCTCCTTTCCCAGCTTCCTTTACTCTTTGATCCTTATAATAGGTAAGCTTTACTGAATGTTTACAATGTCCAAGGCAATATATAATGCATTTTATATTCATAATATCATTTAATATTCACAGCCAACTTTAGGGTGAATACTATACCTCCACTCAGCAGATAAGGAAACTGAAGCTTAGAGAAGTTAAATAATTTGCCCAAGGAGCTGGAGTGACATGTGAACCCCGGTCTCTGACTCCAAACTAGAGCCTGAATTCCTAAATATTATGGTCTACTGCCCTTTTGATGCAATCCTGCTGTTGGCAGTGAAAATAAGCTGCCACGGAAGCCTTCTAGCAGACTACTAAGGAGGTGGCGAAAGCATTAAGATCTAAGTCCCTGATGAAAGGCTACATGAAGTGAGCTGGGAGAGAATTCCAAGAATTTGAACAGATATTTACAGAAAGCAAAACAGAAGCAGTTATACATATTTTATTCAGACCAACCACTGTAGGTATCAACAGTAATAACACTCCACAGTATAGGCCTTGACATCTCAACAGGAAATTTGAGTGCACCTGGGGAAGAAGGGGCTGTGCCAGTCAGTATACTTTGGAGAAAAAATAAAGGTCTTTGAGGGATTGTGGATGAAAAGTGGGGTATTAACTTAGGGGAGTTGTAGAAGGAACTGTGTGCTTTCATCCTTTCACTGGGTGAAAGCCATGATTTAGGATTTATAGGTCCTATACAGGAAGGAACAAGTATTTACCCATAGCCATTTTATTCTGAGTATTAACCCATGGTTAACTGTAAAACTCTTTGTTTCAGGATGTCAGAGTGTAAGCAATATAAAGGAAAAGTATTGATTGTACACATATTTTACCAGTAAAAATATACATTCATTTTCCTCCAATAGTTTTAATGGAGAGTGAGCTCACTGGGAGTAGAGGGGAGAGTGCAGGATAATAGGAACACATGATGCTACAGGAGTGGGATAAGTCTCTCACTGCCTAAACAGCTGCTGATTTAGTGACCTCTACTAGCAAAATTTTCTTCCTCCATTCCACCTAAGATTGGAATCATCTGATAGTATGTGGTTGCAAAAACTGAATTCAGCATTCTCCAAGAAAGACACAAAAGTTTATGCTCTGCTTTAGACTTCTATGCGAAACTTAGCATAGATGGTGATCAGTGCTTCCACCTTTCTTTCAAACACAAGCAAACAACTCCTCAATTTGCAGGTAAAGACATGTTTTCCTACCTTAAAATTTTTTTTGTTAAAAACAACACATTCAAATAAAAGTTTTAGATAAACATGTTTATGACATTTATTAAGAACAAAATATTTTTCAATTTGACAAGGTGGGGTAAAAATACTGTCAAAAATTTGACTTTTGGGGCCGGGCACGGTGGCTTGTGCCTGTAATCCCAGCACTTTGGGAGGCCAAGAGGGGGCGGATCACCTGAGGTCAGGAGTTCCAGACCAGCCTGGCCAACATGGTAAAACCCTGTCTCTATTAAAAATACAAAAATTAGCTGGGTGTGGTGGTACATGCCTGTAATCCCAGCTACTCAGGAGGCTGAGGCAGGAGAATCGCTTGAACCTGGGAGGTGGAGGTTGCAGTGAGCTGAGATGGTGCCACTGCACTCCAGCCTGTGCAAAAAGAGCAAAACTTCGTCTCAAAAAAAAAAAAAAAAATTGACTTTTGGGAAAGATAGATGAAGCATTCTTTTTTTTTTAGATGAAGCATTCTTTACATATTTATATACATCACAATCACCAATCACACGCTAGATACTTAATCTCATTTAACATCCAACCCCCTAAGAAATCTTGAAGTGGCATTATTATATTCATTTTACTGATGAAAAAACAAACTCAGAAAAGTCACACCATTACCAGGTAAAACAATAACAGAAACAAGATGGGAACCCAGTTCTATCTGAATATATAACATATTTTTATAATAACTAAACTACTATTGTTTCTCCTTACTGTATGCTGTTGTAAGCTTTATGACGCCTGGGCTGGTCCATGTGAAACATAGATATATATTATGTATTATCTGAGGACCCATGAGATTTTAGAGTGAAGCCAAGGGAAAAAAAAATATGCCAAGCTTTAGCCCTGGATCATATAGGGAGGCATGTAACATTACAACTGTTAAATAATCTAAAACCAAGTAATTTTTCCTCAGAAATAAATCCTTCTTTGAATTTTCTTACTTATTTTTGTCATTACCACTGTTCTAGTCACCCAGGTTTAAAATTCTTACACTTAATGAAGGTATAATTAGGGCATATAAGTTAATAATGTGATAAGGGCTGTGCTAAGTATATGATCAACATTGAGGAGCACAAAAGATTTCAGAATTAATTCTGTGGGGTGAGAGGTTTGGTGAAGGTTTTTCAAAGTAAGATATTAGCTGGGCATTGACTGAGTCCTGTTTTGCCCAGAGAATTAAGGGAAGGGCCTTCTGAATAGCAGACAGAAGTTTGAAAATACAGCTGGTCCTTGACTTACCTATGGTTGCTATACACATTCAGTGGAAAGCTGTATCATGGTCTCTCTTGATGCTGGGCAGAGGCAGTGAGCTGCAGCTTCCAGGCAGCCATGAAATCATGAGAGTAAACAACTGATTTTCGACAGTGTACCGCATTGCCAGATGATGTTGCCCACCTGTAGCCTAATGTAAGCGTTCTGAGCACACTAAGGTAGGCTAGGCTAAGCTGTGATGTTCGGTGGTTAGCTGTATTAAACGCATCTTTTTAAAAATATTTTTTGCTGGGCGCGGTGGCTCACATCTGTAATCCCAACACTTTGGGAGGCCGAGGCGGGTGGATCACCTGAGGTCAGGAGTTCGAGATCAGCCTGACCAATATGGTGAAACCCCATCTCTACTGAAAATACAAAATTTAGCTGGGCATGGTGCGGGTGCCTGTAGTCCCAGCTACTCGGGAGGCTGAGACAGGAGAATTGCTTGAACCCGGGAGGCGGAGGTTGCAGTGAGCCAAAATCATGCCCCTGTACTCCAGCCTGGGCAACAGAGTGAGACTCCATCTCAAAAAAGAAAAAAATAAAATAAAAACATTTTTTAAAAATAGAGATGGGGTCTCACATTGCCCAGGCTGGTCATGAACTCCTGGCCTTAAGCAATCCTCCACCTCTGTCTGCCAAAGTGCTGGGATTACAAGAGTGAGCTACTGTGCCCAGCCAAATGCTTTTTTCCCCCACCAGCCAGGATCTTGCTCTGTCACCTGGGCTGGAGTGTAGTGATGTGATCACAGCTCACTGTAGCCTCAACCTCCTCTGTTCAAGTGATCCTCCCACCTCAGCCTCCTGAGTAGCTGGCACTACAGGCACGTGCCACCATGCCCAGCTTTTTTTTTTTTTTTCTTTTTTTTTTTGTAGAGACTTCCTATGTTGCCCAGACTGGTGCTGGTCTCGGACTCCTGACCTCAAGCAATCCTCCCACCTTGGCCTCCCAAAGTGGTGGGGTTACAGATGTAAATCACTGCACCTGGCCCAAATGCATTTTGACTTAATGATATCTTCAAGTTACAAGAGTTTATTGGGACATAACTCCATTGTAAGTCAAAAAGTCTCGATATATAAATTTTCTCTCTGCATCCAATGAATTACCAGCTTATCTGGTTGTTCTTTCATAATATTTTGTTTCTTTCTTTGTTTGTTTGAGATGGAGTTTTGCTTGTTGCCCAGGCTGGAGTGCAATGGTGCGATCTCAGCTCACTGCAACCTCCATCTCCTGGGTTCAGGCAATTCTTGTGCCTCAGCCTTCCCAGTAGCTGGGATTACAGGCATGCTCCACCATGCCCAGCTAGTTTTTGTATTTTTAGTAGAGACAGGGTTTCACCATGTTGGTCAGGCTGGTCTCGAACTCCTGACCTCAGGTGATCCACCTGTCTCAGCCTCCCAAAGTGCTGGGATTACAGGCGTGAGCCACCGCGCCCGACCTGTCTGCTCATTTTCTACGATTAATCACCTTATATATGTATTACTATGAAAGCTCTGATTTAACAGTTTTTTCCTCCAGTTAAATTCTCATAGACACCACTAACAGATTAACTTAAAATACCTTTTACATGACCATAGAAACTTCAGAAGTTCCCACTGCCTCTGAAAATATGAAGTTCAAAATGAAAGCCTCCCACAATCGCAGAACTATATACTATGTATACCTAAATTTCCCTCTAGAACAACCAAGTCAACAGATAAAACAATACATGACCCTTGGCTGGGCATGGTGGCTCACGCCTGTAATCCCAGCACTTTGGGAGGCTGAAGCGGGCAGATCACTTGAGGTCAGGAGCTCGAGACCAGCCTGGCCAACATGGTGAAACCCCATCTCTACTAAAAATAGAAAAATTAGCCAGGCGTGGTGGTGGTGCATGCCTGTAATTCCAGCTACTCCAGAGACTGAGGCAGGAGAATTGCTTGAACCTGGGAGGTGGAGGTTGCAGTGAGCTGAGACTGCACCACTGCACTCCAGCCTGGGTGACAGAGCTAGATGCCATCTCAAAAAACAAAAACAAAAACATGATCCAGTGTAGGTTTAAAGACATCAGGAAAGTTTTAGTGACTATTTACTGGGTATAAAAGGTAGGGCCTCTGGAAGGCATTGGGATGACAGTTTTCGGTCAGTCTCAAATCTTTAGTTTACAGGACAGCCAGACATAGACATAGAAGGCTAACATTAGAAGGTATCTGTCCCATAAACCAGACTGTAAACATACTTATTGTTTGGAGGAAGGCTGAAGAAAGAGCTTAAGCTGGGCCTTGATTGACTAGAATGGACAACTACCAAAGAAAAAGAAGAGAAATAGAAGAAAACTACACACACACACACACACACACACACACACACACACACACACACACACACAAAGGGAAGTGAGGGGAAATGAATGGATACTGTTAAAAAGGTCTTGTTCAATTCAACATCTACTGAGCACCATGTGCCAAACAGAAACAATGTATTCTCCATGAAACAGGAGCCAAGGGCAGAACTTTTCTTGGCTCTTAAGCCAGCCCCTTCTCAAAGTAGACAATTGGGGATTGACACAAAATAGGCATTCAAAGCATTAAATGAATAACATAATTTCATTACTAGCTAAATAGAAGGGTAGAAGAAAAGGGAGTATTCCATGATGGAATTAAAAAATGGACTTCAGGCCACGTGCAGTGGCTCATTCCTGTAATCCCAGCAGTTTGGGTGGCTGAGTCGGGTGGATCACCTGAGGTCAGGAGTTTGAGATCAGCCTGGCCAACATGGTGAAACCCTATCTCTACTAAAAATACAAAAATTAGCCAGGCGTGGGAGCGTGTGTCTGTAATCCCAGCTACTTGGGAGGCTAAGACAGGAGAATTGCTTGAACCTAGGAGGTGGAGGTTGCAGTGAGCCAAGACCATGCCATTGCACTCCAGTCTGGGCAACAGAGCGAGACTCTGTCTCAAAACAAACAAACAAACAAACAAACACTTCAGAGCTTCTATATAGTCATGCGCCACATAATGACATTTCACTCAAGGTGGGACTGCATACAGGATGGTGTTCCCCTAAGATTATAATGGCTGGGCATGGTGGCTCACACCTGTAATCCTAGAACTGTGGGAGGCCGAGGCAGGTGGATGGATCACTTAAGGTCAGGAGTTTGTGACCAGCCTGGCTAACATGGTGAAACCCTGTCTCTTAAAAAAATACAAAAATTAGCCGGGCGTGATGGCACATACCTGTAATCACAGGTACTCGGGAGGCTGAGACCGGGGAATTGCTTGAACCTGGGAGTTGGAGGTTGCAGTGAGCCAAGATCGTGTCACTGCACTCCAGCCTGGGCAACAGAGCAAGACTCTGTCTCAAAAAAAAAAAAGAAAAAGAAAAAGAAAAGAAAAGAAGAAGGATGGAAGGAAAGATTATAATGGAGCTGAAAAATTCCTATCACCTACTGACATCATAGACCTGTACTGCAACACAGTACCTTTTCTATGTTTAGATACACACATACTTACCATTGTCTTATAAATGCGAATGGTAGTTAGTACAGTAACATGCTATCCAGGTTTGCAGTCTAGAAGTAGTAGGCTATACCATATAACCTAGGTGTGTAGTAGGCTATACCACCTAGGTTTGTGTAAGTACACTATGTAATGTTCACACAATGATGAAACTGCCCAACTATGCATTTAACAGAATGTACTGCCACTGTTAAGCAATGTATAACTGTATCTGGAAATGTTATAAAAGCTATAAAGGCATCATTATTATATAAATGTTCAGCTAGTTACATACAGAAATATACCACCAGAATACTCTGCTCCTGATTCAATCACTTGTCTAAATGCAGCCAGAGTGATTTTCAAAACACAGATCTAAACATGTCACCCCTTACTTAAATTCTTCAATGGAATCCCATTTTTCTTAGGATACACCAATTCCTTCACGGGCATATGAGAACTTGCATGGCCTCATCCCCATCTATCTATCCAGTCTTTTCCACTCTACCCCAGCATCACTTTTTATTCCCATTTTCCCTGCTGTAGTTAATTCCTACTTAGCATTCAGTTCTCAGCTCAATTGTCACTTGCTAGGGCAAAGTCCCCCATTATGGTTACTCATAGTACCTTGTACTTCTTTGGGGGGAATTTATAACAGTTTTAGTTTTACATCTGTGTGATTAATGTCAAGCTCTATCATAGACTATAAACTCTAAAAAGGCAGAGATTTTACTTTAAAATGTCCTACGTTCTATAATATGTTATTTAATAAAAAATTTACACACATGTATAATTTTAAATACTTCTAGCCTAAGAGATAAATCTAGGAATGGTAGCATTTACCCTCCAAGGCATTACTATTTTACAGCCCATAAAACAGGCCGGGCATGGTGGCTCCACACCTATAATCCCAGCACTTTGGGAGGTCAAGGCAGAAGGACTGCTTGAGCTTCGGAGTTTGAGACCAGCCTGGGCAACATGACAAACCCCGTCTCTACCAAAAAATCCACAAAAATTGGCTGGGCGTGGTGGCATGTGCCTGTAGTCCAACTACATGGGAAGCTGAGGTGGGAGGCTTGCTTGATCCTGGGAGATTGAGGCTGCAATGAGCCATGATCACGCCACTGCACTCCAGCCTATGTGACAGAATGAGAATCTGTCTCAAAAAAAAAAACACACACACACAACTAAAAACCTATAAAACATCTATATTTAAACAGAGACCTAATCATTCTAAGTCACTGTTTATCTGTAAAATATGGATAACCTGAAAGATAAGTTGTCCATAGTAAGTGAAAAACATATATAAAGTTTTCAAAACAATGTATGGTATGTGGTAAGTGCTAAATAACTGGTGCCTATGAATAATAAGTCCCATTTGTAATTAATTCATGTTTCCAAAATGTATTCCCCAAACATTTTTTTTTTAAGATGGAGTCTCGCCCTGTCACCCAGGCTGGAGTGCAGTGGCACAGTCGCAGCTCACTGCAACCTTCGCCTTCCAGGTTTAAGCGATTCTCCTGCCTCAGCTTCCCAAGTAGCTGGGATTACAGGTGCCCGCCACCACAACCAGCTAATTTTTGTATTTTTAGTAGAGACAAGGTTTTGCCATGTTGGCCAGACTAGTCTCGAACTCCTGACCTCAGGTGATCTGCCTGCCTTGGCCTCCCAAAGGCGTGAGCCACTGTGCCCAGCCCCCAAACATTTAATTTGTGTAGTAACACTGAATAATTCTAATGTTCTTTCAAGCTGGTTAAAAAGATTCTGAGGGGATAAAAGAGATTCAAGAGCCTGTTACATCTTTTGTTACAATTTTTAAGGTGATTATATCATTCTTAAGTTTCCCCCCATTATTTACTGTAGCCCAGATTTCCTTATTATTTTTTAAGACATATACAAGCCATTATAAGATGTATTTAAAATGGACAGATACATAAAATTTATCTTAAAATGCATATTTTATTTCAGTAGTCAATGACCATCAATCAAATAAAGGAAAGAAAACTAATTTCTTGAAGAAAGACAAATCTATGGAGTGGTTTACAGGAAGTGAAGAATGAGATGGCCCAACTAAACCAATTTGGAATCATTAACTACAAAATGTCAAACTAACTGCAAGACAAGTGTCAAAATGGGATGTTTAAGCAGTTTTGCTATGTTATACATCTTTTAGTTGTTATTTTCAAAATTATATGTATAAGTTATATAAGTCATAGTAATAGCTAAAAATGCCAATCTATGGAAGCAGTGATTTTCAATATAAAGTTCTATTTTGATATTTTTCCATCTTCAAGTCAGTTACTGTCATCTGGAGTACTCAGTTAAGTTGTGGTTTGACCTTCCTCAACTTGACAAGAAAAGCTAATTTAAGAGAAGAAAAACATAAAGTCATTATATTAATTAAAAGAAAAAACACCATTTAATATGTTCTGAAAACATTACTCACCTGTATGACCAGGTTGCCAGTGTACTGGTCTAGCAACATAGGGAAATGATCCATATGGAAAATCAGAATGCGATTCTTCTGTTGTAAAAAAATATATGTACTATAAGCTACATAAAATATTTTCTATTTTTTTCACAAAACTGTTAAAATATGAGTTACTCTCTTTATTGTAAGTTTTTTCTTTATTTATTTCCTTGCATATGTTTTAGAGCTACTCTGCCAGTTATTATACAGAAACTATTTGTCAATGATTATGTAATAAACATATGATTTTATAACCAAATGGATAAGCCTATATCATAAATCAACTGATACTTGAAAACTTGTTCATGGCCTAAATAATGTGTATATATGACAAAGACCTAAACTCAGTTCTTTCAAGAATTCCAGCAGCATCTTAGAAGTTGCTTTTTGGAATATTAGCTATTTGCCTATCAGGTCCCATTAATAATCAGTGATCTAAATATAAAACATCCTTAATACATTTAAATTATTTCACAAACCAAGCTCCTTGTGACAAGTAAAATATGAATATTATAAAAAGCTCAATTCTTCAAAGGTATCAGAGTTTTAAGTAAAAGGCAGGAAAAGTCATTATTCTGTGCCTTATACATCTTAACAGAATAAATATCACACTTTTCTATAGAAAATTGCTGAGGAATATTTTTATAATCTATTGGTCAGTATACTCAGGAACTCATTCTCCATTCATTACTGCATGCATAAAGTAAAACTGAAGCTCACCATGGTCATCCTCTTGAAACAGCTCACCTTTAACTCCAATTTTCTCTTGAGAATCTAGTTGTACATCTGTGTTGATTTTAGATTCTACTTTTTGAGCTAAAATTCCATTTTTCTGTTTTGCAAGGCAAACCAACCAATCTCTGACAATGACCTCGCTTATCTTTTCACATGAAAGAGCAAGTTCACAGGTGCGAATTCCATCTAAAAGTTCAATAACCTGTGTGATGCTTTCAGAAAAGTGAAAAATTTACATTTCTACTAAAATAATAACATTATATTTATTTAAGTTCCCTATACCTCTTGCCCACATTTAAATACCATAGTTAAATTAAGGCAGGAGAGGGTTTAAATATGCAAGTTAGGAGGCATAAAAAGTACCTTCACAAAATTCTAAGTAAACAAACACAGAGACCATAATTTAACATTACTGTTCACATTATACTTTTAAAACATTTCTTCCAGATTGTCAGAAGAAAATATGCATCTTATATTACTATTTATGTAAAAAATGATTTAAACAGTAATATAGGGTTGGGCGTGGGTCACGCCTGTAATCCCAGCACTTTGGGAGGCTGAGGGGGGCAGATCACTTGAGGTCAGGAGTTCCAGACCAGCCTGGCCAACATGGTGAAACCCTGTCTCCACTAAAATACAAAAATTAGCCGGGTGTGGTGGCGCATACCTGTAATCCCAGCTACTCAGGAGGCTGAGGCAGGAGAATCACTTGAACCCAGGAGGCGGAGGTTGCAGCGAGCTGAGATCATGACACTGCACCCCAGCCTGGGTGACAAAGCGAGACTCTGTCTCAAAAAAAAAAAAAAAAAAAAAAACGAAAAAAGTTTAAAAAAAAAAAACACTAAATAAATATACAGTAATATAAATGAACTTGGGACTTGTCATTTTAAAACAGTTGTATAAGATGCCATATACACTTTATTCAGTTACAAAATGAATATTTTGGCTGGGCGTGGTGGCTCAAGCCTGTAAGCCCAGCACCTTGGGAGACCAGGTGAGCAGATCACCTGAAGTCAGGAGTTCAAGACCAGCCTGGCCAACATGGTGAAACCCCTTCTCTACCAAAAATAGAAAAAATCAGCCGGGCGTGGTGGCGGGCGCCTGTAACCCCAGCTACTTGGGAGGCTGAGGCAGGATAATTGCTTGAACAGGGGAGGTGGAGGTTGCAGTGAGCTGAGATCATACCACTACACTCCAACCTGGGTGACAGAGTTTTTTTCTGTCTCAAAAAAAAAAAAAAAAAAAAAAAAATTTAGTTTGATACTTAAGCAAAAGTGCACTTAAAAGTTACATTACAAAGAAAAACAGTTATATTACTCACTTTACTACATATACAGCACATACACCACCATGCTTAAGATGTGGGTAAAAAACAGGCAAAGTAACATGAGGATTTAACATATCCAAAGCTACCTGTGTGGGGGAAAAAGAGAACTGGATCAGTCTGATTCCGTTTAAATAAAGCATAAGTTTTCTTATTGTGGTGAAATGACACACTTTTGGACAGCAATCAAAGTATTTCATTTTTTAGAAGGTAGTATTATTAACTATCATTTTACCACTCCCAAAAGGGTATGTTAATTATTATACAGTTGGGCAATGTGGCTTCTGCCTGTAATCCCAACACTTTGGGAGGCTGAGGCAAGAGGATCCATTTGAGGCCGAGTTTGAGAACAGCCCAGGCAACATAGCGAGACTCTGACTCTATTGAAAAAAAAAAAAAGTAGCTGGATGCAGTGGCACAAGCCCGTAGTACCAGCTATTCAGGAAGCTGAGGTGGGAGGGTCACTGGAGCCTAGGAGTTCGAGGCTGTAGTGACCTATGACTGTGCCATCATACTCCACCCTGGGCAAGAGTGAGATCCTGTCTCAGGGAAGAAAAAACAATTTGTCATAGTACTTGATGATACTGAAAAATCATAATGATATGTCTTGTACTTTGCATATTAATATGGAAATATTGATTTGGCTATGTATGTATATATGAATATAACCAAAGAAAGATTCCTGTATGCCTGTATTATCAATATTGCCAAGTGTAAAACACGCCATTACAACATGAAAAATTTAAACATTTGAGACAATGTGAATTTCCTTTTTTTTTTTTTGAGACAGGGTCTCGCTCTGTTGACCAGGCTGGAGTACAGTGGCACAATGTCACCTCGCTGCAACTTCCACCTCCTGAACTCAAGCAACCCTCCCACCTCAGCCTCTCGAGTAGCTGAGACTACAGGCAGGCGCCACCATTCTCAGCTAACTTTTTGTATATTATGTAGATACAGGTTTTGCCATGTTGCCCAGGCTGGTCTTGAACTCCTGGATTCAAGCGATCTGCCCGCCTCGGCCTCCCAAAATGCTGGGATTACAGATGTGAACCGCTGCACCTGGCTGACAATGTGAATTTCTATTGCCAAAACTTATAAATTTAAATGCTTTATTTCAGCTTTGGCAACAGAAATTCACATTGTTGGCCAGAGGCAGTGGCTCACGCCTATAATCCCAGCACTTTGGGAGCCCAGGCGGGTGGATCACCTGAGGTCAGGAGTTTGAGAGTAGCCTGGCCAACATGGCAAAACCCTGTCTCTACTGAAAATACAAAAATTAGCCAGGTGTGGTGGTGCACACCTATAGTCCCAGCTACTGGGAAGGCTGAGGCAGGACAATTACTTGAACCCGGGAGGCAGAGGTTGCAGTAAGCCAAGATTAAACCACTGCACTCAAGCCTGGGTGACAGAGTGAGATTCTGTCTCAAAAAAAAAAATCATATCCCTTATTTCCTCTTTATTCTTGTTTCAATTGCAGTATACATGGCTATAGTCACAGAAGATGCCAGTAAGTACAAAGATAAGTGAAAATTTTTCAAATAAAAAATTAATTAAAAACAAAAAATAAATCTGGTCAAAATAGAAAATAAAGTAACATTTACTGTTGTATTAACTCCAGAAAGCTTAGAGATATGCTGGCATATCTATTTACTAAATGATAAAATATTAGATTGTTTGTGTCTTTTAAAAACAGTACTAATCAGTCAAGGGACATCTTATTAATTTATTCACCAAATATTTATTAAGCACTGTCTACATGGCAAACATTTTTCTAAGTGGTAAGGATATAGTTGGAGCTTATAGTCTGTTTCACGGGATCTAATGAAGGGGTAGACATTAAACAAAAATAAGAAAACATATAAATAAATAGGACAGAGGGTGGTGAGTGACATGAAGAAAAACAGTTATAAAGCAGAATAGGCGTGGTAACTCATGCCTGTAATGCCAGCACTTTGGGAAGCCAAGGGAGGAGGATTGCTTGAGCCAGGAGTTCCAGACCAGCATGGGCAACACAGTGAGACCCCGCATTTATAAAAATAAAAAAAATGGCAGGGTGCAGTGGCTCATGCCTGTAATCCCAGCACTTTGCGAGGCCGAGGTGAGCGGATCACCTGAGGTCACGAGTTCAAGACCAGCCTGGCCAACACGGCGAAACCCCGTTTCTACTAAAAATACAAAAATTAGCCAGGTACAGTGGTGCACACCTGTAATCCCAGCTACTTAGGAGGCTGAGGCAGGAGAATAGCTTGAACCCAGGAGGCGGAGTTGCAGTGAGCAGAGATCAGGCCACTGCATTCCAGCCTGGGCGACAGAGCGAGACTCCGTCTCAAAAAAAAAAAAAAAAAAAAAAAAAAAAAAAAACTGCCAGGCGTGGTGGCATGCTCCTGTGGTTCCAGCCACTTGGGAGGCTGAGGAGGGAGGATCACCTGGGCTTGAGAAATCAAGGCTGCAGTGAGCTGTGATTGTGTCACTGCACTCCAGCCTGGGTGACAGGATAAGACCCTATCTCAAAACAAACAAAATAAGCAGAGAAAGAGGGAAAGAAAGGGACAGGTCAGGGAAAGGAGGTGTCATTTTATACATAGACTGGTCAGTGAAGAGACCTGAAGAAAATAAAATTAAGTTTAACCCATGAAAATGTAGGGGAGAAGTGAGCTCCTGGTGGAGGGAACAGCAAATATTTAATACAAACACTCAGGTAGTAGGCTACTTGGGGAGTCTGTTGAGGCCACTGTCACTGCAGTGGAGATAAAAGGGGGCAAGTGGTAAGAGATGACATCGAAGGTGGTGGACACAGATTACATAGAATCATGCAGGCTTTAGCTTTACTCAATTGAGAAGCCACTGAAGAATTTTAAAGATTGACATGATTTGAACTTTTTTAAAAAACTATTTTTGTGTGTGGTAAAATAAACATTGCCATTTTAAGTATACAATTCACTGTCATTAAGTATACTCTGACTCACTTTAAAATCTACATGCAGAAAACACTGAGAATGCAAGGAAGGATGACAGTGGCTTGTAATAGCAAAGAGCAGTGGGTGTGGTAAGAAGTGGTATATATTTTGAAGACAGAGCCAATTAGAATTAGAATTGGCTGTAGGATGTGAGAAAAAGAAAACTGAATCCAAAGTTTTTAGCCTAAGCCACCGAAAGAATGGAGGTGTCATTTACTAATGAGGAAAATGATGAAGATTATGGGAGGAGCAAGCTTGGGGGAAATAAGAATTCAGGTTTGGACATGTATTTAAGATGCCTATTAAACATCCAAGTCAAGGCCAGGCATGGTGGCTCACACCTGTAATCCAAGCAGTTTGGGAGGCCGAGGCGGGTGGATCACCTTAGGTGAGGAGTTCGAGGCCAACCTGGCCAACATGGTGAAACCCTGTCTCTACTAAAGATACAAAAAAATTAGCTGGGCATGGTGGCGGGTGCCTGTAGTCCCAGCTACAAAGGAGGCTGAGACAGGAGAAATGCTTGAACCAGGGACGCAGAGATTGCAGTGAGCCGAGATCACGCCATTGCACTCCAGCCTGGGCAACAGAGTGAGACTCCATCTCAAATAAATAAATAAATAAATAAATATCCAAGTCAAGATTTCAATGACAATCAAGGGTCAACATGATGACATAAATGGGTTCTCAGACTGTAGTTTTACTATATTATTGACAAGGACCAAAGTCAGATAACCCAGAAAACTGCAAATCTTGAATGCTCAATTCTCAGTTAACAGCATTTATCCAGTTACTCAAACCAGAAACTTAAGAGTCATCATTTTCTTTTTTCAAAGCCTAATCAAGAAGCCATCATTTTCTTTACCTTGAATTCTCTTTTGAGACTCTGGGGTTTTGGTGCTTCTGTTTGAATTAAAGTCTCACAAATCTACCTCCAGTGTTTCTGAAATTAATCCCACAGACATTGACTTAGGTCAACACCTCACCATATCTTGTTGAAATATTATAATACCTTTCTGCATAGACTCCCAGCCTCCATTCTTTCTCCAGAACTATTCTAAAACAGAAATCTAGACAGTCTACTCTCCTACTTACAAGATAATGTCCATACTATCCAGCTTGATATATACACAACTTTCTTTATTATCTAGCCCCTCATGACTGCATTTACAGACTCATCTCCTCATACCAAGTTCTACAGCCATGGTGTTTTATACTTCTGAGTCTTTTTAGTAATTGCTCATATGTCTATTTCATTTTATCTTATTTAATTAAATTTTTTTTTTTTGAGATGGAGTCTCATCCTGTCGCCCAGGTTGGAGTACAATGGTGCGATCGTAGCTCACTGCAACCTCCGCCTCCCGGTTTCCAGAGATTCTCTTGCCTCAGCCTCCCGAGTAGCTGGGATTACAGGCATGCGCCACCACACCCAACTAATTTTTTTTTATCTTTAGCAGAGACAGGGTTTCACCATGTTGGCCAGGCTGGTCTCGAACTCCTGACCTCATGATCCGCCCGCCTTGGCCTCCCAAAGTACTGGGATTACAGGCATGAACCACTGCGCCTGGCCAATTTAATTTAATTTTTGAGACAGAGTCTTGCTCTGTCACCTAGGCTAAAGTGCAGTGGCACAATCTCAGCTCACTGCACCCTCTGCCTCCTGGGTTCCAGCGATCCTCCTACCTCAGCCTCCCAAGTAGCTGGGATTACTGGCTTGCACCATCACACCCAGCTAATTTTTATACCTTTAGTAGAGACAGAGTTTCACCATGTTAGCCAGGTTGGTCTCAAACTCCTGACCTCAAGTGATCCACCCATCTCAGCCTCCCAAAGTGCTGGGATTACGGCCATGAACCATCATGCCTGGCCCACAGCTATTTTTTTTTTAATTTTTTAATATTTCTTATTCATTTTTTGTTTTCAAAAGCTCTTTTGAATGTATAATTTTTGTCTTAGCACAGCACACGACACATGGCAGGTTCTTAATAAATGCCTGTTGACTCCAGAAACAAAGTGGTTCAGAAATTCAGAGGAAGGTAATAATCCTCTGGCTAGATGATGAAAGGATATTTCACACAGGAGATGACCTTTAAGCTTTAAAGGGAGAATAGAGTTTAAACAGGCAGAGAAAAGAGGAAAGGAAGAAAATCAAAATGATGAAAAACATAACTAACATTTATTCAGTGCTTACTATGTACCAGGTACTTTACATGAATTCTCTTATTTAATCCTCAACAACTCTATGAAATAGGTACTATTATCATTCCTGTTTAATACATGAGGTAACCGAGGCATGGAAAGATTAAGTGACTTACCCAAGGTTACACTGGCGATTATGGAGCCCGGCAGTGGACCAATCTGAATGGACCCCAAACTTATTTCCCTCTATTCCTTTCCCTTCCTTTTCTCTCCTCAGAAAGAGTCATTGTCCTGAAGTTGGTAACATTCCCAAATTTTATACTTCTACAACATATGTATATAGCTACAAACAATACATGTTGTGTAGTTTTAAATTTTACATGTAGGCGGTCATTTCACATATTCTCTTATAATGCTTTTTCCACCAAACACCAAGTCTTTCAGATTTATTGATGTAGCTAGAGTACATTTATTGTTAGTATTCCATTGTGTCTATTCTCTTTTGATGGTTAAGCTGTTTCCAAAATTTGTTTAATTCTTTTTTTTTTTTTTTTTGAGACGGAGTCTCGCACTCTCGCCCAGGCTGGAGTGCAGTGGCGCCATCTCGGCTCACTGCAAGCTCCGCCTCCCGGGTTCAGGCCATTCTCCTGCCTCAGCCTCCCCAGTAGCTGGGACTACAGGCACCCGCCACCAGGCCCGGCTAATTTTTTGTATTTTTAGTAGAGATGGGGTTTCACCATGTTAGCCAGGATGGTCTTGATCTCCTGGCCTTGTGATCTGCCCGCCTCGGCCTCCCAAAGTGCTGGGATTACAGGTGTGAGCCATTGCGCCCGGCTAATTCTTTTATTAGTCATGCTCTTTTTTCTATTTTTTTTAATGGTTTAACACCTTTTTTATTCATTTAGCATCATTTTGGTTGGCATGTATGGAGTCAGGTTACATAAAGGACTAGAGAAAGGAAGGTTCAGATCAGATCTGGCCACCAGAAGTCTTTGAATGAAAAGCTCCGGGTCAGGTGCCGTGGCTCACGCCTGTAATCCCAGCACTTTGGGAAGCTGAAGCGGGTGGATCGCTTGAGCCCTGGAGTTCGAGACCAGCCTAGGCAACATGGTGAAACCCCATCTCTACTAAAAACACAAAAACTAGCCAGCCATGGTGGCGGGCGCCCGTAATCCCAGCTACTCAGGAGGCTGAGGCACGAGAATCGCTTGAACCCGGGAGGCGGAGGTTGCAGTGAGCCAAGATCATACCACTGTACTCCAGCCTGGGCGAAAGAGCAGGACTCCGTCTCAAAAAAAAAAAAAAAAAAAAAAAAAGAAAAGCTCCGGATTTTTTCAGCAGGAGAATGACAGTATCAGAAATACACATCTATACATACATATTTGTTTATTTCTTTTCTGTTTTTTTTGAGATAGAGTCTTGCTCTGTCTCCCAGGCTGGAGTGCAGTGGCGCAAATCTTGGCTCACTGGAACCTCCGCCTCCCAGGTTCAAGCGATTCTCCTGACTCGGCCTCCCAAGTAGCTGGGATTGTAGGCGCCCACCGCCATGCCTGGCTAATTCTTGTATTTTTCTTTCTTTCTTTCTTTCTTTTTTGAGATGCAGTCTCGCTCTGTCACCCAGGCTGGAGTGCAGTGGCGCGATCTCGGCTCACTGCAAGCTCCGCCTCCCGGGTTCACGCCATTCTCCTGCCTCAGCCTCCCGAGTAGGTGGGACCACAGGCACCCGCCACCACGCCCGGCTAATTTTTTATATTTTTAGTAGAGACGGGGTTTCACCGTGTTAGCCAGGATGGTCTCCATCTCCTGACCTCAGGAGATCCGCCTGCCTCGGCCTCCCAAAGTGCTGGGATTACAGGCGTGAGCCACTGTGCCCTGCCAGAGATTTATGTTTAACATATGCCTTTTGATCTTTGATCAAACACCAACCCTCAAGCAGTACTCTTACCAATGTACAATTTTTAGAAACGTTCTTAAGAAAAGGAAATTATTCATGATCTAGCTTCTACTTAACAGTTCTGTATTATAATTATTTATGAACACCAACTATAATTCTTTGGTCCTAACGGTATATAACTCTCCCCCAGCAGCTGACACCCCCTCTCCTTCTCTATTCCCTCATATTGAGTAATCATCTGGCACTATTATTCAAGAGAGATTCAGCTGAATAAATCTAAAAAAGAGTGTTCTTTTTAGATCAGGAATGGTTCAGCAGGTTTCTACAAAGCTTCAATGATATCATTAAAATCCTTTGTTGTGTTTCATGCTCATCAAGCAAAATTCTGATGACCAATTTAATCTCGCAGGTATTTTTGACATTCCTATGGATGACCTAAACAGAGCTCTTTCCCCCTTATTGAGCTGTAACATGCAAGCCATAAATGAGAAAAAAGAACTGAGGTCTTTCTGTACAGGAAGCTGTGCCACTAAAACTATAGGTTTTAGTTATATCAGAGCTGGAAGCCAGTGCTGATAAAAATCATTTTCATGGCCAGGCACAGTGGCTCATGCCTGTAATCCCAGCACTTTGGGAGACTGAGATGGGCAGATCACCTAAGGTTAGGAGTTCGAGACCAGCCTGGCCAACATGGTGAAACCCCATCTCTACTAAAAATACAAAAATTAGCTGGCCATGGTGGCGTGCACCTGTAATCCCAGGTACTTGGGAGGCTGAGGCAGGAGAATCGCTTGAACCCGGCAGGCGGAGGTTGCAGTGAGCTGAGACTGTACCACTGCACTCCACCCTAAGCAACAGAATGAGACTCTGTTGCCAAAAAAAAAAAAAAAAAAAAAAAAAAAAAAAAAAGATTTTCTCTCCTCTTTGAACTTTGCTTCATTTCTCACCAAAACAGTCCATCCTTCCAGCAGCCAATTAAGGAAAGGAAGAAAGACTCCTAACCAAGGCCTCAGTCCATAGTGTGAAGCTATGAACTGTGAAGTGGCATCACCAAGGAATTCTGAAACTCTTCAGCCAGCAAATACTTCCATGTCCCAGATCTCCACCATGTTTGATCGCAGCTTAATGTATCCTCTCTTGTCATCTATCTTTTTACTTTCATCTTCTCTGCTTCTTTTCCCTAAGTCAACTTCCCAGTGTTTCTCTTCCTCACAATGTCTCTGCTCCACTTTCTGGAGCTTTGTTCATGATAAACACCTCTGTCCTCGACATCTTCAATGAACACACTCCCCTTGATATCCTGACTTCAACTAACTAAAGATGCCTTCTGCCTATTCCCTGTCAAATGGAAGCTACTTATTCCCCCAAATCTCACAGTTCAGGTTAGGTGCCGGGTTCAATATGCTTCCAATGCTGCTTCCAAAGTATGATTCATCCTAGAAATGCTGAGGTTCATGATGCTCAACTAGTCTTTGGTCCTAGCTTTCAGTCATTACCCCACATTCAATGACAACTTCAGCACCCAACTCGGTAACTCAGTATGTCTCTCTGTCCCAAATCCCACCATGAGATTAAAAGGCATGAAACGAAAATATTCTTTCAATCCCTAGAGATAGACATGAAGCAAACGAAGGAAGACCTTTGCCCATACAAAAGAAGCCTGACCCCTATCTTCTTTATAGTCAAAGTAATAACACAGGACCCACGTTAGAAAACTTACTGCGTCAAATGTTAAAGATTTTATGTCTTCGGTTGCTCCTGAAATGTCCTTATGAATAAAATCCACATTGTCTGGCCACTCTTCTACATGACTTAATTTCCATGAATCACGCCAGTGTTTGTAATTCTTCTTAGCCAGATCATGGTGGTCTTTTCGTACCTCAAAACTTATGACTCGTCCTTGTGATCCAACTTAAGTAAAAAATAATTTGATATTTCATAATATTAATCAGTTTATTAAAAAGTGTCAAAAATGTATTTTGCAAAGGTACTACATGTATGTGAAAAAAATAATTCAAATAGTTCAATGTTACAAGTCTGATCTCCTATCCCTGATCTCCAATTAATCTCCCTCCCTCTTCAGAGGCAACCACATTACCAGCTATTTACCTTTCCCATGATAGTCACTGCCTATACAAGCATGCCAAGTATCTCTCTGTGTTTTTAATACACACTGTGGTGTATTATACACACTGTCCTGTACCTTCCTTCTTACTTACCAATGTCATTTCAGTGCTTCTAGATGTACTGCATTCTTTTTTAACAGGCATTATATTCACTGTATGGCTACGATGAACATTTAGCTTGTTTCTAGTCATATGCTAATATAAACAATACTGCAATGAAAATTCTTATACCTAAGTCTTTGTATCAAGCCAGTATATCTCTACAGGATAAAGTCCTAAAAATGGAATTGCTGGCTCAAGGGGTATGTGAATTTATTCACATAATATTACATTGTCCTCCACGTAAGTGGTGTCAACTTATATGCCAACCAGCAATGTATTAGAATACCTGTATCTCAGGCCGGTCGCAGTGGCTCCCGCCTGTAATCCCAGCACTTTGGGAGGCCGAGGCGGGCAGATCATGAGGTCAGGTGATTGAGACCATCCTGGCTAACACGGTGAAACCCTGTCTCTACTAAAAAAAATACAAAAAATTAGCCAGGTGTTGTGGCACATGCCTGTAGTCCCAGCTACTCGGGAGACTGAGGCAGGAGAAAGGCGTGAACCTGGGAGGCAGAGATTGCAGTGAGCCAAGATGCGCCACTGCACTCCAGCCTGGGTGACAGTGCAAGACTCCGTCTCAAAAAAAAAAAAAAAAAAAAAAAGAATACCTGTATCTCCATACTCTCCCTAAGTTATTGAACTTTTTATCTGTATCAATCTAAAAAGTGAATAAAGTTTATCATTTTTAATGTAGATTTTTGAGTTTGGTTTTTTTTTTTTTTTTTGAGACAAGATCTCACTCTGTCACGCAGGTTGGAGTGCGGTGGTGCAATCACAGCTCACGGCAACCCCCACCTCCCAGGCTCAAGCGATCTTCCCACCTCAGCCTCCTGAACAGCTGGGACGACAGGTGTGTGCCACCACACCCAGCTAACTTTTTGTATTTTTGGTAGAGACAGGGTTTCGCCATGTTGCCAGACTGGTCTCAAACTCGTGAGCTCAAGCAATCTGCCTGCCTCGGCCTCCCAAAGTGCTGGGATTACAGACGTGAGCCACCATGCTCAGCCTTTTAATGTAATTTTAACTTGCATTTCTTTTATTATGGATGAGGTTGAGTCTTTCATATATTTAAAAGGTATTTGTGGCCGGATACAGTGGCTCGCCACAGTAATCCCAGCACTTTGGGAGGGCAAGGCAGGCAGATCACTTGAGGTCAGGAGTTCGAGACCAGCCTGGCCAACATGGTGAAACCCTGTCTCTACCAAAAAATAAAAAAAAAAAATTAAAGGTATTTGTATTTGTGTGTGTGTGTGTGTGTGTGTGTGTGTGTGTGTATGTGAAGAACTTTTAAACTAATTAGCACAGTAATACTGCAATTCCAGAGAGGAGTACTACATTTTAACTTAAGGCAATTAACTTTCCACCCACCTCTATCTGAAGTGATTTGATACCATTTGGAGATTATCCCAGATCAATCAGTTTACAGTTTACTAATGAAGTTTAAATTCCAAGGTATCTTTTGAAATGTAACTCCAACTGCAAGTTATCAGGTTCTCAGGAGATAAAAATTAATTTTAATAGTAACATAAGCTGGGCGTGGTGCCCCATGCCTGTAATCCCAGCACTTTGGGAGGCTTAGGCAAGATTGCTTGAGGCCAGGAGTTCAAGACCAGCCTGGGCAACAGTGAGACCCAGTCTCTACAAAAACTTTAAAAATTAGCCAGCTTTGGTGGTATGTGCCTATTGTCCCACCTACTTGGGAGGCTGGGACGACAGGATCACTTGAGTTCCGAGGGTCAAGGCTGTAGTGAGCCACGATCATACCACTGCATTCCAAACTGGGGAACAGAGTGAGAACCCGCCTCAAAAAAAAAAAAAAAGTAACATAAACAACTGGAAAAGAAAATATGGAGAAAAATATCCATCACATAGGTAAATAGCAATAAGTTCTTGCACATTTATAGTTTAGGATTATTCAAGCCATGACACTCTTCTGATACTATATATTTTAGAAATATAGGCACTTATCTGTTCTCACCAATTTTTATAAATCCACTTTGTCAAATGAAACCGTGCAGTTAGGAATTTGTCATAGATGATGAGAAAATGACTGCCTTTAACTATGTACAGAAAAGTCAAACAAAAGATTGATTGAGGAGCCCAGAATGAATTTACCGGCTTAGTATAATCTAGATAATATTCATATGTGAAGACATTAGGTCAAAGAACAAAAGGTGTGAGTTTAATTTCAGCATATTTCTATCTGTAATCTTTATAAAATCTACTCAAAGAAAGTACTGTGACTATTCAGCAGTCTAGTATTATGTAGGGAAGAGAACACTGCACAGACAGACCACCCAAAGCAACCCTGACACTCAGAGAAATTAGGTAGGCAAAGAGGTACTAATCAACTAGCATAAAAGTAACTAGAAATTAAGTGGTAGGAACATGAAAAAATATATATGTTTAATATACACCTCTTGATTTTTGATCAGACACCCACCTTCAAGCAGTACTTTTACCAACTGACAATTTTTAGAGACTTTCTGGAAAAAAAAAAGATAATTCTTCATGATCTAGCTTTTTACTTAATAGCTCTGTACTATGATTAATTTCTTTATGAACACCTACTATAATTCTTTGGCCCTAACGATATATAACTCTCCCCCCAACAGCTGACAACGTCCTTCCATATTCCCTCAGGCTAAGTATTCACCTGGCACTAGTATTCAACAATAACATGACAAGTACACAAGGAGGTTCCAAGCAGCACTATTTGTAATATCCAACTCAAATGTCTATCAACAGTAAAATAGGTAAATTGTGATTTAAATAGAGAGTATTATACAGCAACTAAAATGAAAGAACTACTGCTGCATGCAATGAGTGAATCTCACAAACATAATAATGAATGAGAGTAGCCAGATACAAAGGAGCACATACTGTATGATTCCATTTTATATAAGTTCGAAGGAGGCAAAACTAATCAGTGATGATAAAAGTCACAATAGTGGTTTCCTTTGGTGATGATAAGGACTGGGAGGGGACATGAGGAGGCATCTGTGGGGCAGGGACACTCCCTACCTTGATCTCGGTAATAAGTACATGAGTGGTCACTATACAAAGATTCATTGAGATATACACTTATGATCTGCACACTTTTCTGTAGCCATATTATATTCCAATAAAAAGTATACTTAAGAAAAAAGAAGCAGCATTAGAGAGCATGGAGAAAGTAAAACAAAGCAAAGAAAATTGAGGGAGGATTAGAAAGAGACTGACTGGAATAAATGTACAGAATGGAAAGAAAAATAGTTGCTTACTTTCAGATTCTAGGAGAATGCTACCTCAATGTTAGGTATTTTCCCAAATATCTTTATACCTTTCTGTTATTATGAACAAATTGAATGTTTTCTTTGTTACTGAGATCCAGCTCAGTCCAATCTCTTACCTGCTTTGGATAAAAATAAGCTCATTCCACCAGAGCCTGAGCCAGCTTCCAAAACAGTATCACCTGGGTTGATATCCATCATTGAGAGAATCATATTAATATCCTATGATTGAAAACAGTATGGGTGACTCAGCGACCAATAAATATGTACTAAGCACCTAGTCTTATCTTACATTGTTGGGTGTGCAGAAGAAGGGAGTGAAAAAACGAATCAGACTCTGGACCTGCCTTCAGTTTATATTTCACTTGATGAAATAAAAGAGATCCAAGAATCAATTAACAAATAAGGCAACACTTCAGAATAATACCAAAATTACAGACAATAAGTTCATAGAGTAGCAGGATGGCCTAGTTTAAAGACAAAGAGTAGACAATTTATGGGAACAATCACAAGGTAAAAACAGCTTTAAACAAAGCAGAGGTAGAATAAATCCAGTTTGTTATCTCAGGAGAGATAGGCAGAGAATTAAATGCCAGTATGAGGCATTAGAACTCAGCCTGATAAGCAACTAGGGTGTGTCACTGAGGTGATATAAATGGCATTTTATGAGGATTAATCTGGCAGAAGAATACAGGATCTACTGGAGAAAAATCAAGAGGCAGGAAGACCAGTTAGGAATTTACTATATAATCTCTGCATAAAATGATGAATTTCCTTTTTTTTTTTTTTTTTTTTTTTGGGAGACGAAGTCTCACTCTTGTCCCCCAGGCTGGAGTGTGATGGCACGATCTTGGCTCACTGCAACCTCCGCCTCCCGGGTTCAAGCGATTCTCCTGCCTCAGCCTCCCGAATAGCTGGGATTACAGGTGCCTGCCACCATGCCCGGCTAATTTTTGTATTTTTAGTGGAGATGGGGTTTCACCACGTTGGCCAGGCTGGTCTTGAACTCCTGACCTCAGGTGATCCGCTCGCCTCAGCCTCCCACAGTGCTGGGATTACAGGTGTGAGCCAGTGTGCCCAGCTCAAAATGATGAACTTCTTATTTTTGGGGGGACAGAGTCTCGCTCTGTCACCCAGGCTGGAGTGCAGTGGTACAATCTTGGCTCACTGCAAGCTCCGCCTCCTGGGTTCAAGCGATTCTCCTGCTTCAGCCTCCCAAGTAGCTGGGATTACAGGCACCCACCACCACACCCAGCTAATTTTTTGTATTTTTAGTAGAGATGGGGTTTCACCATGTTGGCCAGGCTGGTCTCAAACTCCTGATTTCAGGTGATCTGCCCGCCTCGGCCTCCTAAAGTGCTGGGATTACAGGTGTGAGCCAACGTGCCTGGCCAAATGATGAACTTCTAATTTAGAATTAAGATACTATATAACAGCGGTCCCCAACCTTTTGGGCACTAGGGACCCGTTTCGTGGAAGACAGTTTTTCCACAGACTGGGGAGAGGGGGATGGTTTTGGGATGAAATTGTTCCACCTCAGATCATCAGGCATTAGTTAGTTTCTTATAAGGAGCATGCAACCTAGATCTGGTGCATGCACAGTTCACAAGAGTTTGCACTCCTATGAGAATCTAATGCCATGGCTGATCTGACAAGAGATGGAGCTCAGGCAGTAATGCTCACTACCCACCGCTAACCTGCTGTGTGGCCCGGTTCCCTGTTACAGGCCACACACTGGTACCAGTCCTCAGCCTGGGGGTAGGGGAGCCCTGCTATATAAGAAAAAAAAGAGACTATGCTATTACTAGATTGGAGGACCCACTTGCCAAACATATAATTGGAATTGTTTTTGTTAACACAAATATTACGGATGATATTAATAAAAACTGTTTTTTTAAATTTAGTAAACAAATTTTCTTGGTGACAGGGTCTCTGTCACTCAGACTGGAGTGTAGTAGTGCAATAGTAGCTCACGGCAGCCTCGAACTTCTGGGCTCAAGCAATCCTCCTACCTCAGCCTCCAAAGTAGCTGGGACCACAGGCATGTACCACCATGCCCAACTAATTTTTTTTTTATTTTTTATAAAGATGGGGTCCTGCTATGTTGGCCAGGTTAGTCTTGAACTCCTAGCCTCCAGCAATCCTCCTGCCTTGGCCTCACAAAGCACTGAGATTACAGGTGTGAGTGACGGCACCTGCCCCCTCACTTTTTTTTTGAGATAGGATCTTACACTGTTGCCCAGGCTGGAGTGCAGTGGCAAGATCATGGCTCGCTGCAGCCTCAAACTCCTGGGCTCAAACAATCCTCCCATCTCAGCCTCCTGCGTAGCTGGGACCACAAGTGTGTGCCAGCATACCTGGCTAATTTTTTATTTTTTGTAGAGACAAGGTCTCCCTATGTTGCCCCGGCTGGTCTCAAACTTCTGGGCTCAAATGATCCTCCTGCCTCAGCCTCCCAAAATATTGAGATTACAAGTGTGAGCCACTGCACTCTGCCTCTGGTCATATTTTTAATACTAAGATGGAATTATGTAATTCTAACAGGGAGATCAGTTTTTAAACATCAGTGAAGGTATTCCCTCAAGCATTTCAAAGTTGTAGAAGTTGAAGTAAAACTATCTCCAGCCATTACTTGGAAGCTATAAAGAGAAGTCAACACCTAACAAATTTAGTACTTAAATTCCTCCTTAGAGTGGAACAATGTGACTTTTATCTGTAACAAATGGAAAGGCAGAAAGTATACTAAATATGCATATTTATAACTTCATGAAATGTAACTAATCTCTCCTGATTTTGTCTAATGGGGAGAAAGGAGACACGGGGAAGCAAGATAAAATTACGAAAGTCTTTTAGTTTTCTTCAAGAGCTTATGATACCATGGCCAGGAGCGGTCGTTCTCACCTGTAATCCCAGCACCCTCAAGGGAGGATCCCTTGAGCCTAGAGAAGTTTGAGACCAGTCTGGGCAAGTTAGGGCGACCCCAACTCTACAAAAAAAATTTTTGATTAGCTAGGCATAGTGGCATGCACCTGTGGTCCCAGCTACTCAGGAGGTTGAGGTGCGAGGATTGTTGGAGCCTGGGAGGTTCAGGCTACAGTAAGAGGTGATTGAGCCACTGCACTCTAGCCTGGGTGACATAGCAAGACCTTGTCTTTAAACAAAAAAAGCTTATTATACCTCAGTAGCCTAAGTTTCTGAGGAAAGTTTTTTTAGTCCCTGGGTAGACCGTTTAAAATACAGACTGGATTCCTACTAAGAACCTTCTAATGGTCCTTCACTACAAATGGAATAAAATACTCAAACCACACCTCATACGGGGTCCCTCATCTGACCCATTGAGGCCACAACAGAAACTCTGCAGCATTCCTCCCTTTGCAAGAACAATTCTCTTCCTAGATCTGTTTACAAGGCAAGCTCTTCCTTATTTAGGTTTCCTATCAAGTGTACCTCCTTGGAGACCATCTCTCCTCACCTGACATAAAGTATGCTCATACCCCAGGTCACCCAAAACAATGTCATTGTTAATATATTTGTCTTCATGACACTTAACACTACTGGAAATGACCTTATTCTTTCATTTACTTGTTTGTTCTTTGTCACCCCTTCTAGAATGTAAGGTCTATGTTGAGGGTGAGGACTGCAGTTCAACACTATACTTCCCTAAACAGTGCCTTGAGTATGGAAGGCAGTCAATTTGCTGAATAAATAACGAATGAATCCTGATCTGGAGAAAGGAGGAGGAGTTGTGTTACACAGGAACATTCTACTCAAGGACTGTGACTAAGGATTGAAATAATCTGCTAGCAATAGATGATTAGCATAAGCTTCAAACTAGGGCTGGGCGCGGTGGCTCCCGCCTGTAATCCCAGCACTGGGAGGCCGAGGTGGGCGGATCACTTGAGGCCACGAGTTGAAGACCAGCCTGGGCAATAAGGCGAAACCCCGTCTCTACAAAAATTAGCCCGGGGTGGTGGTGCATGCCTGTAGTCCCAGGTACTCAGGAGGCTGTGGTGGGAGAATCGCTTGAACCCGGGAGGCAGAGGTTGCAGGGAGCCAAGATCGCAACACTGCACTCCAGCCTGGATGACAGAGTGAGAACTTGTCTTAAAAAAAAGACTGAAACTAGGCTTTAGGCAGTTAACTTTTTAATAAAGAATAGTCATTTTATGTTTGGTGTTGAATGTTAGCTATTGTAATATAAAACTCTATTTCTTCCCTAAAAGGGGAAAAGCACCGTAATGTACCTATTGTTAATATACTCTTGTAACATGATTATTGAATATTAAAATATCATCATAGTAGTACTAAAAAATTGTTCCCTAAGAGTTCAACATTCTCTTGAGTCCTGAAGTTATAAACTTAAGAGTAATGGGGAACAAAATTAGTACTTATTATGTACGTAGTGAGTTCACATCACCCTAACAGAAAGTTGAGCTATTATCCACATTTTACAAATAAGGGACTCGAGACTCCTAAGTTAAAATTAAAATCTAGCCGTTCCCTAATGCTAATTTTCATCATGATATGTAAAAGTTATAACCATTGGTTTATTTTAAAAGCCTGAGTACAATAAAAAATCCAAACGTTCTGAGATGTCTTTGAATACATTAATCAGGACTGAGTACTGCATCTGTCTTTGCCCCTCCTGAAACCAATACACACCTTATCTCCATCGCATTACCTTTGGGAATGTTATGGCAGTCCCTCTTTTCATCAATACTACATAGTCTTCCAAGGCTGGCCTCCTCAGCATGTACTGCTTACCGAAGGAACTCCTCAGTATCTGGCCGGGGAACTTCCCCACGATCTTGCCGAACGGGACTGCCCCCCAGTTACTATTTAAGAGTCCGAAGTTGTTCAACCTAAATAATTTCTTAAATTTTGTTTCTCCCTCCCCAGTCTCAGCTAAAATCAGTTCCCCAGCCTGAAAGGGTCTCTCTCTGGAAGTTGAACAAGAAGGGGAGACGTGACGCTCTTCGACCTCGGTAGCGGACTGGGCCTGCGAGAGCATCGAAGGATCCTCGGATCCCTGGTGTGTGGGACCGCACCGGCCCTGGTCTCCGCTCGAGTCCTCGAGCTCTCGAGGGGATGACTCTTCCCGCAGCGTCGGCAGTCTGAGGTTTTCCAGTGACGAAAGACATCCAGTCCCAATGTCCGAGATGCTCAGAGGGAGAGATGGGCAAGACTCTGCTCCTGGGGCTTTCCTTTGTGCCGCCTCGTGCTCTCTTTCTCCATCTCGCAGGTCTCTAGGCGAGGACCTGCAACACAGTGACCGAGCTCCCTCGAAGGGCTCCTGCCCCAGGCCGTGCAGGAATGAATTGGTTCCGAGCCCCTGCCGCAGGCACAGCAAGACAGGACCGCGGCACCATGCCATTAGCATAGTGTTTCGCGAAGGCGCCGTCGCAGACGAGTGACGCAAGCCTAGCGCGACCCCTTCTTTCCCAGTCGCGCGCATGGCGCAGCAGCCCGATGGCTCTGCAGCTGCGTGGGGCTCTACAGCTCCGCGACTGCGCCTGCGTCGGGGAGGGGGCGGTGCGCTAGGTCAAGCTAGGGCGCGGGAGCAGCGGAGTCCTGGTTGAGTGACCATCCAAGGAATATGTCCTCGCGCGCGGCCGCCGTTTTCCTTTTCGGAATGTGGGTAAAGAATTTACCGCTAACAGACGACCTCCAGGTTCGCTCTTGGACAGCAAGATTGAGAGACAAAACTTAACAAAGCGCTGTGCAAACTGAAATCCCAGGCTTAGCTCGCTTGTGTCTTGAACACGGAAGTCACCTAGTCACCCACAAGATGTATGAGTACAGCTAACCCCCAGATGCATTTGACAGACGGCGTGGGACGCGCCACTTGCTGATTGGCTCTCCTTTCCCAGTTGACCGCGACATCCCCCAGCCCCAACTCCCTTTTGATGGGGCTGTGACCACCTGCCGGTCCCCTCACCCACCCCTCACGCCCGGAGAGTCCGAGGTTGATTCGAGTACTCACTATGTGCTTATGTAACACATGTTTTCATTATTAAAATATAACTAGTTTACCCTCCCAAAACGAAATAGAAGTGTCTTAAAATGGAAACAGGTATCTTTGGAGGCCAGAGTTATTTAGCGTTAAATATCACTAGCCTCCCAGCATTTTGGGAAGCCGACCGAGGCAAGCGGCTCATTTGAGGTCAGGAGTTCGGGACCAGCCTGGCAAATGTGGTGAAACCCCGTCTCTACTAAAAATACAAAAATTAGCTGGGCGTGGAGGCACGCACCTGTAATCCCAGCTACTCGGGAGGCTGAGGCAGGAGAAGCGCTTGAACCCGGGAGGCAGACGTTGCAGTGAGCTGAGATCTCGGCACTGCACTCCAGCCTGGGCGACTGAGCAAAACTCCTCTCGGGGGAAAAAAATTAGTCGGGCGCGATGGTGCACGCCTGTAATACCAGCTACAAGGGAGGCTGAGGCATGAGAATAGCTTGAACCCAGGAGGCGGAGGTTGCAGCGGGCCAAGATCGAGCTACCACTGCACTCCAGCCTGCGCGACACAGCAAAACTCTGTCTCAAAAAAAAAAGAAAAATCGCTAGCCTCTTTGCTGGATATTAGTTGACTGGGCAAAAGTTTATTGAGAGTCTGGCAATACGAGGCACGTTAGACACTCATTTAAGTTTCCAACAATTCTGTGTTAGAAACAAATCCATTTTATGAGTAAAAGAACTGGCCCAGGGAGATTAAATAATTTGGGGAAACCAGGAGTGGTGGCTCACACCTGTAACCCCAACACTTTGGGAGACCCAGGCCAGAGGATTGCTTGAGCCCAGGATTTCAAGACCCACGTGCAACATAATAATAATAAGTTGGTCAAGATGCATAGCTGACAAGTGGCATTGCAGAGTTTCCTATTTAGTCAGTCTGGTTCAGCAGCCCATGCTCTTTGTACTGTAACACCGTTTGGAAAGACTGGTCAACAGCACAGTTGAACTTAAAGTCCAAGTATATTCAAAGGGCTGTGAAGTCAATGTGAATTCTGTTTAAATTTGATGAAATAAATCTTGTTATTCTTTTTTTTTTTTTTTATTTGAGACAGAGTCTTGCTCTTGTTGCCCAGGCTGGAGTGCAATGACACGATCTTGGCTCACTGCAACCTCTGCCTCCTGGGTTCAAGCGATTCTCCTGCCTCAGCCTCCCGAGTAGCTGGGGTTACAGGCACCTGCCACCATGCCAGGCTAATTTTTGTATTTTTAGTAGAGACTCGGTTTCACCATGTTGGCCAGGCTGGTCTCGAACTCCTGACCTCATGATCCACCCGCCTCGGCCTCCCAAAGTGCTGGGATTACAGGCATGAGCCACCGCGCCTGGCCGTTATTACTTTCTAAGACATAAATTAATACTTTCTAATCAGTACTTTCTAGGACATCAGCCACCATAAACTCCATCAACAGGATTTCTCCCTTCTTTTTTTCCTTTTTTTTTCTTTGTGAGACAGAGTCTCACTCTCGCCCAGGCTGGAGTGCAGTTGTATGATCTCGGCTCACTGCAATGTCTGCCTCCCAGGTTCAAGCAATTCTCCTGCCTCAGCCTCCCAGATAGCTGGGATTACAGGTGTGCACCACCATACCCAGCTAATTTTTGTATTTTTAGTAGAGACGGGGTTTCGCCATGTTGGCCACGCTGGTTTGAACTCTTGACCTCAGGTGATCCACCCACCTCAGTCTCCCAAAGAGCTGGAATTACAGCCATGAGCCACTGCACCCAGCCAAATTTCTCCCTTCTAATTCTAAAAATGAATAAAGAAACTGCTCTCTCCACACCCCAACTGCGTGTCTCACTTTGTGTAGTTTGCTTTTTAGGAAAAGTTATGACCAATAGTTTCTGGAGTCGTAGGCTTTTCTCACTACTTTTTCTTGTGATAGGCTTTCTAAGACAAAAACTCATTTTTGGTTATAAAATTCTTGAAATTAAGGAGATTATCATTGCCAAACATGGGTCTGAGCCGGAACCTCCTGAACTCTAAGCCCTATGGTGGTTTTAAAAGTTATCATACCTACTTTATTATTTCTTGAGTATTATCAAATGATACTTGGCTGTTATTTCAGAATAAGCAGGAATTGGAAAAAAAGAAAATACACTAACAAAATATGGGAAGTAAATTTACATATCTTTGATTTTTAAAACAAATTGTAAATGGAAAATGGCATCACTTTCTTTCCATTGTTTAAATAACAGCCACAATGTTATACGTATTTTGTTTTATACACATCTAATGAAATACATTAGTACATTTTGGAAAATAATATTATTTATTCATGATCTTTCAGAGCATTGAAATTCTTAAAAAAGAAGTCACTATGTGGGCCTTTCTATTTCTGGCTATCCTTTACTTCTGCTTTCCCTATGAAATTGTCAGCCTGCACTCTGAAACTATTATCTTGATGATGAATTTGTGATACATCGTCAACTTATCATGTTTACTTACTTAATTTATTTACTGAGACGGAACTTTGCTCTTGTCACCCAGTCTGGAGTACAATAGCACGATCTCAGCTCACTGCAACCTCTGCCTCCTGGGTTCAGGTGATTCTCCTGCCTCAGCCTCCTGAGTAGCTAGGATTACAGGCCTGTGCCACCACGCCTGGCTAATTTTTTGTATTTTTAGTAGAGACTGTGTTTCACCATGTTGGCCAGGCTGGTCTTGAACTCTTGACCTCAGGTGATCCACCCACCTCGGCCTCCCAAAATGCTGGGATTACAGGCGTAAGCTACCGCGCCCAGCCCATGTTTACATTATAAGGCTAAGAAAAATACTGTTTTCTAGTGACATTTAGTTAAGCATTTACTTTAAAATCTGAATAGTTCTCAATAAATACCATGGCTGATGGCTGGCATTTTAAAATCTCCAAACAGGCAACCAGTTCTAGTTCCACAGGTGATCTCCTCCAGCTCTTTGCACATGCTTCTTCACTCTATTTTGTGTAGTTTTCCCTTGTCCTCCAGCTATCAACCTCACAGTACCACTGGAATGGTGGCTTTGTACCAATCCCAAAAGACCTAGAGTAGTGCCTTTCACTTCTGCTCCCAGTGGGTCCTGCCTGTTTTTGTTTTTATTTTAGAAATAGGGTCTTGCTCTGTCACCCAGGGTGGAGTGCAGTGGTGCCATCATAGCCTACTGCAGCATCGAACTCCTGGGCTCAAGCAATTGCCCTGATTCAGCTTCCAGCGTAGCTGGGACTACAGGCATGTGCCACCAATGCATGGCAATTTTTTTTTTTTTTTTAAAGACAGAGTCTTGCTCTTGTCGCCCAGGCTGGAGTGCAATGGCGCAATCTCAGCTCACTGCAACCTCCCCATTCTGGGTTCAAGCGATTCTCCTGCCTCAGCCTCCCAAGTAGCTGGGATTACAGGCACCCACCACCATGCCCAGCAAATTTTTGTATTTTTAGTAGAGATGGGGTTTTACCATGTTGGCCAGGCTGGTCTCGAACTCCTGACTTCAGGTGATCCACCTGCCTCAGCCTCCCAAAGTGCTAGGAATACATGCGTGAGCCAATGTTTTTTGTTTTTTTTTGTTTTTTTGTTTTGTTTGTTTGTTTGTTTTGTTTTGTTTTGTTTTGTTTTGTTTTGTTTTACAGGGTTTCACTCCCATCACCCAGGCTGGACTGCAGTAGCATTCTCTTGACTCACTACAAGGTCTGCCTCCCGGGTTCAAGTGATCCTCCTGCCTCAGCCTCCCGAGTAACTGGGATTACAAGCTCATGCCACCACCCCTGGCTAATTTTTCTATTTTTAGTAGAGACGGGGTTTCACCATGTTGGCAGGCTGGTCTTAAACTCCTGACCTCAAGTGATCCACCTGCCTTGGCCTTCCAAAGTGCTGGGATTACAGGTGTGAGCCACGCGGTTGGCCATAATTTAAAAAAAATTTTTTGTAGATGCAGGGTCTTACTATGTTGACCAGGGCAGTCTCAATTCCTAGCCTCAAGCAATCCTCCCTCCTCAGCCTCCCAAAATGCTGGAATTATAGGCAAGAGTCACCACATCCAGCCAGAGTCCTGTCTTTAGATCTATCATGGCACATGTCATACTATATGGAAATTGCTATTTATCATTTCCCAGGATAGAGGATATAATTGTTGGGGAGAAGACTATGTCTTGTTCATCATTATAATTCCAGTGCCTGGCACAAAACATCTCTCAATAAACATTTGTTGAATAAATGAATGAAGAAAGTAGAAAATGAGAAAATTAACAGCACTGATACCTAGACTACTATACTAAATAACTCAATGTATAAACATGGTGCAATTATATTTAATAGTTATCATGTATTTTGTTCTGTGTCTGTACATTCATTTAGTTTTTATTAGAACTGTTGAAGTTCACAGATTTTTTTCTTACTGTATTTTAGCAAAATAGAAAATATCTATGTCTAAGACTATACCTGCTTTTCTCCTGCTTTTTCACTTTATCCCCAGTTGCTGCTAAACTTGAATCTGGATTCTGTAGAACTTCTCCTCTAGGATTTACTGCTGTGTTACTAGAAACTGCAAATCCAAATTCAGAGAAGTTTAAAACCTTCTCAAACATGTGTACAGGCATCAAAGAAAAATTGATGATATTGAGAATTGGAGGGTCTTCTCACTTATCACCACCCACCACCACCACTCACTAAACCCCTTTTCTGTTTCTAAATTAGAGGATATTATACAGGATGAACCCAAGCCAGTTTGTTAGCACATTGTAAGCCATCATTTTAGAGTTTCAAGAATTGATCAGTCCTTCCTCCTCCTGGAGAAGATCTTAGATCCTCTTTCCTTCTCATCAGGGTCCTTCTTTTGGAGAATGGACTGACTCCTCACCTCCATCGGCCCCAGCCCTACCTAGTCAGCGTCCTGCTCCTGTCTGGGCTTCAGAGAACCTCCACACTGAGTTTCTCCTTTCCACCCTCCATCTCTTTCTCAGGTGCACCAACTCACCCTCAATAAGTCCGCTGGATTTTAAAGTTAGCTGTGAGACGTTTAAGCTTTGTGTTTATGTTCGCTGTCTTTGTTCACCAAGCTTATAATGAATGCACGTAAAATAATCAACTCCACTGCCAGTCACGGTGGCTCACGCCTGTAATCCCAGCACTTTGGGAGGCCAAGGTGGGCGAATCACGAGGTCAAGAGATCGAGACCATCCTGGCCAACATGATGAAACCCTATCTCTACTGAAAATACAAAAATTAGCTGGGCGTGGTGGCGTGCACCTGTAGTCCCAGCTACTCGGGAGGCTGAGGCAGGAGAATTGCTTGAACCTGGGAGGCACAGGTTGCAGTGAGCCGAGATTGCACCACTGCGCTCCAGCCTGGTGACAGAGCGAGACTCCATCAAAAAAAAAAAAAAAAAAAAAAAAAATCAACTCATCTAAACTTTAAGTCTTAAAACCTTGGCAGATTCATTCTTCATTCATTCACTCACTTTGCATAATTGACTCCTAATCATGCATATCTTACAACCAGAGGACTTATCTGGACACCCAGGAAAATTCTGTTCTAATCCTTCTTCTGTGTATTGCTGTTTTTTGTTTTGTTTAGTTTTGCAAAATTGTAGTCATGCCCTTTTTCTGTTCTTCTCATTCTTTACTCTTTTCTTGTTCCCATTCTTTGTATTATAGATTATGAATGAGCATAAACAACAGTAAATGCTTTGGCTCACACCTTAGCAAGACCATGTACAAGTGTCACCATGGTGAGCTCTCCTACTACAAGAAGTCTTGCCTAATTAAGTGGCTCTTGTTTGTGCTCTGTAAAGTCAAGCAGTTTGGTAAGATTGTGTATTAGTTAAGATACAGTTTAGCTGTAAGTGAAGTAGGAAATTCTGGGCTAAAGCGACACTCTGAAGTATCATTCTACACTTCATCCTATGCTATGGTCATTCTGTAGTGATCTTATACTCATGCTATACTACATCCCAGTCAGTAAGAAGGGGAAAAAGAATAAAGTCATACCGCCTTTAAAAGTGTCTCTAAAAATGCTCGTATTACTTCTGCTTACATTTCACTGACCAGAACTTAATCACATGGCCACATCCAGCTGCAAGGGAAGCTGAGAAATTTTGTTACAGCTGGACATAAGCCAGCCAAAACTGAAATTCTATTATTATTGAAGAAGGGGGGAATGGATTTGGGGCAATTAGCATTTTATCTTATGGGTGCATGCTAGCTAGTTTAGGTAATCCCCCATTGAACAAATATGTTGTATTCCAAAAACTTAGTTATAAATAGGATCTTTGCAATCTGGTGTAAATAGTGGTTACATTCCCAGGTCTGTTCAAAAACCTATTTAGGGATAAAGTAGCTGAAACAGTGTTCATTTTTGAAAAAGCCAATAGAAAATTATTAAAAAGACACTTGAATCTTTTAAGCAAAAATAAAATATAAAATCCATATTTTCGAGTCTGGGCACAATGGCTCAGCACTTTGAGCCATAATTCCAGCACTTTGGGAGGCTGAGGTGGGAGGATTACTTGAGGCCAGAATCCAAGATCAGCCTAGGCAACATAGCAAGACTTCATCTCTATAAGAAATACAAAAATTCCATTTTTTCGACTCTCTGCTAGACACCACCACCATCATTCAGAATGGATCAGACTGGACTAACTCATCATTTTTACCTCTCCTTTGTTTTTTCCTTCTTCCAGTTCTCTGGAACCCTTGTCCCTGGATAGCCCCTATATCAGTAAAAATCATATGATTTTCTATCATTTCCAGGCTACAAAGTTTCAAATCACCTGTGATTCTTTTCTTTCCACCTCTCTTCCAACCCAGACAGATGGACATATACTCATACCCTCTGATCAGTGGCCAGCTCCTGTGGATTTCCTTCTCAGGTCCTCTGTAGGCACAATCATCTTCCTCATAGACTACAAAGTCTGACTACCTTGGAACATGTGCTGAGAATCTCCTGTGTACTATGCATTGTGCTAGGCTGGGGATACAGAGATTGGAGAGAGGGGCAGGGATTAGGTCTTTCCCTCAAAGAACTCACAATCCGTTAGGGAAGATACAATGGTATACCAAGGTCAGAGTGGTGGGAGCTGCCTGCCCACCATTCAGGCCATAAAGAGGTGCGCTGTCTGTGAAGAATTCAAAAACAACAATATAGCCAACTACAAGTCAGTCTGCTTCTTACAATCACTGTGTGCCACCAATTGTAAACAATGTCAGTGATAAAATACTCTCCTCTAAAACTTTTAGTATTGGCTTAAGTTCTAAACACTGCACTTTGCTTAATATTATAGAGTTTGAAGTACGTATGTATGTATGTGCATTTGTAACCTATGCTTCAAATGAGCACATCCTAATTACTTATCCTTTGGTAAATTTTGTATTCTATATGAAAGTTAATTCTGGCTGGACGCGGTGGCTCACACCTGTAATCCCAGCACTTTGGGAGGCCAAGGCAGGTGGATCACGAGGTCAGGAGATTGAGACCATCCAGGCCAATAGAGTCAAACTAAAACACAAAAAATTAGCCTGGCGTGGTGGCATGCACCTGTAGTCCCAGCTACTCAGTAGGCTGAGGCGGAGGAATCACTTGAACACAAGAGGTGGAGGTTGCAGTGAGCCAAGATCGCACCACTGCACTCCAGCCCGGTGACAGGGCAAGACTCTGTAAAAAAAAAAAAAGAAAAGAAAAGAAAAAAGAAAAAAGAAAAAGAAAAGATAAGAAAGTTAATTCCAAGAATTTTTAATTATATAACTGGCCCTGACACTGTGGATGCAGTTCCAAGAGTTCTTTTTAAGTTCTTAAAGTTTCAGAATCATTTGAGCTTGCTATGGGCACACTTCATAGTACCCCCGTGGTACTATATATGCCTGTGTTACAACAGGAGATTTCAAATAAGCAATAATAACACATCAATTATAAAGAAGCAGCAGCAGAATTTGAAGTACTTTCATCCTGTCATACTGTGACAGTTTGATGTTTTTATTTGTGTTTAAAATATTTTAACCATAGAGACATCTGAAAGTTACCTAGACATCTGAAAGTTACTCAAAGAAACAAACGCATGGACAGTATTACAATTACTAAAATTTATTGAGAAACGGGATTTGTATGAATCTGACAAATTTATCTTTAAAACTTTTCTTAACTATTTGTATATATGTTGTTTAATGTAAAAGAAATTGTTGGCCGGGCACAGTAGCTCATGCCTGTAATCCCAGCACTTTGGGAGGCTGGGTTCAGGGAGAATCAGGTTCAAGTGATTCTCCAGCCTTGGCCACCCGAGTAGCTGGGATTACAGGCATGCACCATCACGCCCAGTTAATTTTTGTATTTTCAGTGGAGACAGGATTTCACTATGTTGGCCAGACTAGTCTCGAACTCCTGAGCTCAAGTGATCCACCCGCCTCCGCCTCCCAAAGTGCTGGGATTACAGGTGTGAGCCACCAAGCCTGGCCTAAATTCTCTCACCTCAGCCTCACCAGTAGCTGGGACTACAGGTACACACCACTATGCCCAGCAAATTAAAAAAAAAGTATTATTATTATTTTTTATTTTTCCTGAGACAGTCTCACTGCATCACCCAGGCTGGAGTGCAATGGCATGATCTCGGCTCACTGCAACCTCTGCCTCTCAGGTTCAAGTGATTCTCCAGCCTTGGCCACCTGAGTAGCTGGGATTACAGGCACCCACCATCACGCCCAGTTAATTTTTGTATTTTCAGTGGAGACGGGATTTCACTATGTTCGCCAGGCTAGTCTCAAACTCCTGACCTCAAGTGATCCACCCGCCTCCGCCTCCCAAAGTGCTGGGATTACAGGTGTGAGCCACCAAGCCTGGCCTAAAAAAAATTTTTTTTTAGAGATGGGGCCTCACTATGTCACTCAGACTGGTCCTGAGCTCCTGGGATCAAGTGATTCTCTTTCCTCAGTCTCCCAAAGTGCTGGGATTACTTCCATAAGCCACCACACCTAGCCCTGGCTAACTTTTATTTATTTTTCTTGTAGAGACAAGGTCTCACTATGTTGTAAAAATGTTTTAATGTAATTAACAATATTAACCCACTTTTTTTTTCCTTTTTTTTGCGCTATGGTATCTATTATTAATTTATCTATTTTAACTGGCAGGGCTTCATATGTGAAATTCAACAACAGAGAATTACCAGCGTATTTTTTTCATGATGTTTATTGTTATTTGTTTCATGTTATGATTATTACTAAAAATATTTTTATTTTATAGAGAAGGAGGATGATTTTAAAAAGCTGACCCACTCAGGTGTTGGGTGTGCTAGCTACCACTGGAATGATTGGCTCTGGAACAGGCTCTTTTAATGCAGTGTGGGGAATGAAATGATAGCAGTCTACATAGTGCGGACTCAGACAAGGATTCCCTAAGCAGGTGGGGCTTGAGTGGGGGATCAAGAAAGACTTTCTTGTAATTTTTATGTTGATATAATTTCTAAAGGTGCACAAAGGTCTCCCATACCTGTTTTCCACCTTCACCAACTTTTTACATTTTCATCCCTTTGCTCTTTCTTTCCTTTTCCTTTTTCTTTTCTTTTTTCTTTCCTTTCCTTTTCTTTTCTTTCCTTCCTTCCTTTCTTTCTTTCCCTTTCTTCCTCCCTCCCTTCCTTCCTTCCTTCCTCCCTCCCTCCCTCCCTCCCTCCCTCCCTCACTTCCTTCCTTCCTTCCTTCCTTTCTTTTTCTTTTTTTTTTTTTGACAGAGTTTTGCTCTTGTTGCCCAGACTGGAGTGCAATGGCGCAATCTCGGCTCACCGCAACCTCCGTCTCCCGGGTTCAAGAGATTCTCCTGCCTCAGCCTCCCGAGTAGCTGGGATTACAGGCATGCAGCACCACGCCCGGCTAATTTTTTGTATTTTTAGTAGAGACGGGGTTTCTCTATGTTGATCAGGCTGATCTTGAACTCTCAACCTCAGGTGACCCACCCGCCTCGGCCTCCCAAAGTGCTGGGATTACAGGCGTGAGCCACCGCGCCTGACCCCGTGTGCTTTTTAATTCTTTCTCTCTCGCTTTCTTTCTCCCTCTCCCTCTCCCACTCTGTCTTCCTTTCCTCCCCATCTTTCTCTGTGCACATAACACACACATGAACATTTTTTTTTCCTGAACCATTTGAAAGTAGATTAGAGATATGGCATCCCTTTATCCCTAAATACTTCAGTGGGTATATCCGAAGAACAAGAACATGGGCCGGGCGCGGTGGCTCACGCCTGTAATCCCAGCACTTTGGGAGGCCGAGGCAGGCGGATCACGAGGTCAGGAGATCGAGACCATCCTGGCTAACACAGTGAAACCCCGTCTTTACTAAAAATACAAAAAATTAGCCAGGCGAGGTGGCGGGCGCCTGTAGTCCCAGCTACTCTGGAGGCTGAGACAGGAAAATGGCGTGAACCCCGGGGGGCGGAGCCTGCAGTGAGCCGAGATCGCGCCACTGCACTCCAGCCTGGGCGACAGTGAGACTGTCCCAAAAAAAAAAAAAAAAAAAAGAACAAGAACATGTTCCCACCTAACCACAGTACAGATTATCACATTAAGGACATTTAACATTGTTATCATACTATTGTCTAATACAGAACACATTCAAATTTTGTCATTTTGCCCAATAATATCTTCCACAGTTTTTTCCAGCCCAGAATCCAATCCAGATTCACATATTTCATTTAGTTGTCATGTCTCTTTAGTCTTCTTTTATCTGGAAAAAAACAGCTCCTCAGCCTTGCTTTATTTTTCTGACTTTGATAGTTTTGAAGAGTACACGTCAGTTGTTCCATAGAATTCTCCTTGCTTTGGGTTGACTGATGTTTCTTCCTGATTAGATGTGGATTACACATTTTTAGTAGAAATATCACTGAAGCCTCGGTGTGGTGGCTCACGCCTGTAATCCCAGGACTTCGGGAGGCTAAGGTGGGTGGATCACTTGAGCTCAGGAGTTTGAGACCAGCCTGAGCAACATGGTGAAACCCTGTGTCTACTAGAAATACAAAACTTAGCCAGGTTTAGTGGTGCGTGCCTGTAGTTCCAGCTACCTGGGGAGCTGAGGTGGGAGGACCATTGAGCCCGGGAGTTTGAGGCTATGCTCCAGCCTGGGTGACAGAGTGAGACTCTGTCTTAGTAAGTAAATAAATAAACAAACAAACAAACATAAAATTACTAGTGAATTGAAGTTTTCCTTCATAAGACATCGTATCAGGAGTCATATGTTGCCGGTTTGTACCTATATTGGTGATGTTAACTTTGATTGCTTAGTTAAGTCAGATTAATTATAATATCGCCACCGTAAAGTTACTATTTTAACTTTGTAAATTAATAAATAATTTATGGGAAGCTACATTGAGACTAGTTTTACAGTCACTGATGACTTTTTCTGTATTTATTATTAGCACTCTACTATTAAAAAAACTATCTTAGGAAAGGTTTTCCTGTTTTTGTTAAACTTCATTGAGGTTAATTTACATACAATAAAATTTAACAATTGTAAGCTAAATTTTAATAAAATTTGGAAATATTTAGTAAGCAAACAATCCAGTGATTTTTAGTAATTTAATAAAATTGTGCAATCATTACCATAAACCAACTTTATGTTATTATTTTTATTTTTATTTTTATTTTTGAGACGGAGTCTCGCTCTGTCGCCCAGGCTGGAGTGCAGTGGCGCCATCTCGGCTCACTGCAAGCTCCGCCTCCTGGGTTCACGCCATTCTCCTGCCTCAGCTTCCTGAGTAGCTGGGACTACAGGCACCCGCCACCACACCCAGCTAATTTTTTTGTATTTTTAGTAGAGACGGGGTTTCACTGTGTTAGCCAGGATGGCCTTGATCTCCTGACCTCGTGATCCACTGGCCTCGGCCTCCCAAAGTGCTGGGATTACAGGCGTGAGCCACCGCACCCGGCCTATTTTTAATTTTTTTGAGACAGAGTCTCCCTCTGTCCTCCAGGCTGCAGGGCATGGCATGATCATAACTCACTGCAGCCTTGAGCCCCTGGGCTTAAGGGATCCTTCTGCCTCAGCCTCTTGAGCAGCTCGGACTACAGGAGTGTGCCACCACACATGGCTAATTTTTTATTTTTTGTAGAGATAGGGTCTCACTACATTACCCAGGCTGGTCTCAAATTCCTGGCCTCAAGTGATCCTCCTGCCTTGGCCTCTTAAAGTATTGGGCTTACAGGCTTGAGCCACCCCAGCTGGCCACAGTCCAGCTTTAGAACATTCTATCGGCTGTGTGCGGTGGCTCACAAGTGTAATCCCAGCACTTTGGGAGGCCGAGGCAGGTGGATCACCTGAGGTCAGGAGTTCAAGACCAGCTTGGCCAACACAGTGAAACCCTGTCTCTACTAAAAACACAAAAATTAGCCAGGTGTGGTGGTGGGCGCCTGTAATCCCAGCTACTCAGGAGGCTGAGGCAGGCGAATCGCTTGAACCTGGGAGGCGGAGGTTGCAGTGAGCCAAGATTGCCGCATTGCACTCCAGCCTGGGCAACAGAGCAAGAGTCCGTCTCAAAAAAAAACAAAACACATTTCTGTCATCCTAAAAAGCGCCCTCATGCCTGTTTACACTTCATCTCCATTCCCATCCAGCCCCAGGCAATTACTCACCTGTTTTCTACCTCTAGAAATATGCCTTTTCTGAACATTTCATATAAATAGCATTGTACAATATGTAGTTGTTTTGTATCTAACTTCTTTTACTTAGCATAAGATTCTTGAGCTATATCCATGTTGTAGCATATATCAATACTTCATTTTTATTGCTGAATAATTTTTTTTTTGAGACAGAGTCTTGCTGTGTTGCCTAGGCTGGAGTGCAGTGGCACCATCTCGGCTCAGTGTAGCCTCCGCCTCTTGGGTTCAAGCTTTTCTCATGCCTCAGTCTCCCTAGCAGCTGGGATTACAGGCGTGCACCACCACACCCAGCTAATTTTTGTATTTTTAGTAGAAATGGGTTTTCACGATGTTGGCCAGGCTGGTCTCGAACCCCTGACCTCAGGTGATCTGTGCGCCTTGGCCTCCCAAAGTGCTGGGATTACAGGCTTGAGCCACCGCGCCCAGCCTATTGCTGAATAATATTTTATTGTTTGGATATATCATATTTTGTTTATCCATTCACTAGTTGATAGACATTTGGGTTGTTGACGGTTTTTTTTTTTTTTTTGAGACGGAGTCTTGCTCTGTTGCCCAGGCTGGAGTGCAGTGGTGCGATCTCGGCTCACTGCAAGCTCTGTCTCCTGGGTTCATGCCATTCTCCTGCCTCAGCCTCCCGAGTAGCTGGGACTACAGGCACCTGCCACCGCGCCCAGCTAATTTGTTGTATTTTTAGTAGAGATGGGGTTTCACCTTGTTAGCCAGGATGGTCTTGATCTCCTGACCTTGTGATCCGCCCGCCTCGGCCTCCCAAAGTGCTGGGATTACAGGCATGAGCCACCGTGCCCGGCCGCTGATGGTTTTTTACTACACAAATAATCCTCCTGTGAACATTTATGTACAAGTTTTTGTATGGACATATGTTTTCATTTCTCTCGGGTAGATACTTAGAAGCAGAATTGCTGGGTTGTATGGGAAATTCATGTTACATTTTTAAAAAGAAACTACCAAAGTATTCTCCAAGAGGCTGTACCTTTTCATATTTCCCCAAGCAATAGACAATGGTTCCAGTTTCTTTACATCCTCACCAACACTTATTGTTGTCATCTGTCTTTTTAATTATAGCCATATTAGTAGTGGGCATGAAATTGTATCTCATTAATGTTTTCACTTGCATTTCCTCAATGGCTAATTATGTTGAGCATGTTTTCATGTGCTTATTAACTATTCATATATCTTTGGTGATATGTCTATTCGAGTCTTTTGCTGATTTTTAAACTGGTTGTTTACTTTCTTGTTTATATATTCTTTGCATGTGGATATCAATTAGCCCACTACCATTTATTAAAAAGACTATTCTTGGCTGGGCGTGGTGGCTCACACCTGTAATCCCAGCACTTTGGGAGGCCGAGGCGGGTGAATCACCTGAAGTCAGGAGTTCGAGATCAGCCTGGCCAACATGGTGAAACCCCATCTCTACTAAAAATACAAAAATTTAGCTGGGTGTGGTGGGGCATGCCTGTAATCCCAGCTGCTCTGGAGGCTGAGGCAGGAGAATCGCTTGAACCCAGGAGGTAGAGGTTGCAGTGAGCTGAGATTGCACCCCAGCCTGGGTGACAGAGTAAGACTCTGTTAAAAAAAAAAAAAAAAAGCAGGTCAGGATCTGGAATATGATGTTTGAGGCAATCCATAGTGAGCGATGCTGGGGAGGTTGGCAGGGACCAGATTATAGATAGTTTTGTAATCCGTATGTATTAAGCGGTATAGATTTTTTCCTGTACATGCCAGCAAGGTTGGGAAGAAAGGGCTTAAAGTAGAGAGAGATGGCATGGTTACATTTATGGTTTTCAAAGATCATACCTAGGTACCAGCCTGGAGGAAGAGAGTCCAATTAAAAGCAGTAGTGGCAGCTTAGGTTTGAGATGTAAAGGCTCAAATAAGAACAGAGGTGATAGAATTGGATGGAGGTAAGGAGATTGAATGAGGAATTATTTAAAAGATAAAATAGAATCTGATGATTTATCCAATGTGTGTATGTGTTTGGGTAGAAGTGAGATGTGGGGCTGGGGAATAAACAGGACGGACTCCTGGCTTTCTACAGTGCTAACTGGACAGATGGTGGTAGCATCAACTGACTCAAAGAATACAAAAGAATGAGCAGAATTAAGTTCAGCTGTACAACCTAATCTATAGTACTTGGAGAAGAAAGTCCATTTTCTCTCATCTAAAAGAAGTGCAGGCACGGTGGCTCACACCTGTAATTCCAGCATGTTGGGAGGCCGAAGCAGAGGATTGCTTGAGCCCAGGATTTCCAGACCAGCCTGGGCATAATAGTGAGAACCCCTCGCCAACACACACACACACACAATATCCCTACAAAAAATAAAAAATTAGCCAGGTGTGGTGGTAACATCTGTAGTTTCAGCTACTCAGGAGGTTGAGGTGGGTGGATTGCTTGAGTCAAGGAGATTGAGACTGCAGTGAGCCATGATCACGCCAGTACACTACAACCTGGGCAACAGAGTGAGACCCTATCTCAAAAAACAAAAAACAAAAACAAAAAAGTCCAAAGGACTTGGTCCACGGCACATGTAATGCTTCTGGGTTTCTAGGTCCTTCAGTCTTGTGGCTCTGCCATTCTCAGCGTGTTATTTTCTCCTCAAAGCCCAATATGGATGTTCCAGTCCTGGCTATCACATTTGAGTTCCAGGGATTAATAATGAAAAAGTAGTGAAGAATAGCATATGGTCTCATTTTAAGAATATTGTTCTACAGGCCCATCTCACATGGGCTCACCTTATTTCAAAGAAGGCTGGACAGGCTGGGTGTGGTAGCTCACACCTGCAATCCCAGCACATTGGGAGGCTGAGGAGGGTCGATGACTTGAGGTCAGGAGTTCAAGACCAGCCTGGCCAACATGGTGAAACCCCATCTATACAAAAAATACAAACATTAGCTGGGCATGGTGGCACGCACCTGTAATTCCAGCTACTCAGGAGGCTGAGGCAGGAGAATTGCTTGAACCTGGGAGGAGGAGGTTGCAGTGAGCCGAGATTGCACCCTTGCACTCCAGCCTGGGCGACAAGAGCAAAACTCTGTCTCAAAAAAAAGAAAGAAAAAAGAATGCTGGACAATGTAGTCTTTGTTATGGAAAGGTTTATGCCCAGGTAAAAATGGAAGGTTCCTTAATGTAGTAGAGAAATTTAGGGATAAATGGAATTTAGGGTACAATTAGTAGCCTCTGCAACAAGATATTTTAGAGGGAATTATGGGGACTTCCACTGGGACTTGTGCTTAAGCTGCTCATGGTGAATTGTCCATGTGCAAATGCCTTGCAGGTAGTTGGATATGTGACTCCTTTTCCTAAAGTGCAATTCTCATAAATTGACTTGTCTGCCCCAAACTTTCAATGACTTTTTACTCCTTACACTGGCATTGAGCACCAGGCTACACTTCCTTTCAAGGTACTAGCTGACAAAATCACCCCCTATTCTTTGAATGTGCCCCATACTTTTCTGTTTGCGTGCCTTTGCTCTTCTAGTACCTTCTGCCTGGAATGCCCTTTCGAGAACTCTTGTTCATACCTTATAAGTCTATCTCACTGGATCCTCAAAAACTGAATCAGTTGTTACCATCTTCTAAATTCCTCTAAAAATTTGCATACACTTCTGTGCTTATCATCTTCTGCTTTGTACCTAAAAAGCACTCAACAGGGCCTGGTGCAGTGGCTCACACCTGTAATCCTAGTGCTTTGGGAGGCTGAGGCAGGTGGATCACCTGAGGTCAGGAATTCAAGACCAGCCTGGCCAACATGGTGAAAAACCCTGTGTATCCTAAAAATACAAAAATTAACCGGGAGTGGTGGTGCATGTCTTGTAGTCCTAGTTACTCAGGAGGCTGAGGCAGAAGAATTGCTTGAACCCAGGAGGCAGAGGTTGCAGTGAGCCAAGATTGCACCACTATACCCAGTCTGGGTGATAGAGTGAGACTCTGTCTCAAAAAAAAAAAAAAAAAAAGCACTCAACAAACATTGGTGAACTGCATTGCCTTTGGCTTTGTTATTTGTCTTTCAAAGTAGATGAAAGATCTATACGAGATTTTCTATGTGAGGAAACAATGTGCTTTGGACAAGGGTGAAATACCGCCTTTCTAAATGTCTTCGATGTGTTTCCTTAAAGAGCTCCTCCCTGACCCTGTCCCTCCATGCCAGGCTACTTTCTCTTATACCCTGTACTTTCCTTTGTTAGCACTTACCACAACTACTCTTTTTTCTGAGACGGAGTCTCGCTCTGTTGCCCAGGCTGGAGTGCAGTGGCACCATCTTGGCTCACCGCAACCTCCGCCTCCTGGGTTCAAGCAATTCTCCTGCCCCAGCCTCCCAAATAGCTGGGATTGTAGATGCCTACCACCACGCCCAGCTAATGTTTGTATTTTTAGTAGAGATGGGGGTTTCACCATGTTGGTCAGGCTAGTCTTGAACTCTTGATCTCAGGTGATATTCCCACCTTGGCGTCCCAAAGTGCTGGGATTACAGGCATAAGCCACCATGCCTGGCCTGGGTTTCATGTTAACGGAAAGATTGGGACAGTAACTGGAGGGGGAAGTGGAGTCAAAAGGCTTTTTTTTTTTTTAGAAAGGATAAATAATAACATGTTGATATCTTGATGAGAAAGATGAAGTTGAGAGGTAAAAATGGATGCTGGCAGAGAGGGAAGGCTTTTTAGAGTCACATTCTTGACTAGGCAAGAGGGGAATGGAACCTAGAACTGAAGTGGGGGACAGTCTTTGCCAGGAGAATAGGCTGTTCACCCAGAGTAGCAGGAGAGATGGGGCACAGGTGGGTGGAGTCTGAAGGACTGGGAGCTTATGAAGTTCTCTTGTTATTGCCTCTATTTTCTCAGGAAATAAGAAGCAAAGTCATTTGCTGGGAGTGAGGATAGAGGAGTAGGTTTGAGTGATAGATGATATGAACTAGTGGAAATGAATGGACTAGAGTAACAGCTGTTTGATACCTTGGCAGCATTGACTTCCCATGTGAATTTCAAGTGGATAAGAGTCAGAATCCCAGCACTTTGGGAGGCTGAGATGGGAGCTCAGGAGCTTGAAACCAGCTCAGGCAACATGGCAAAACCCTGTCTCTAAAAAAAAAACAAAAACAAAAAATGTAGCCGGGTGTGGTGGTGTGTGCCTGTAGTCCCAGCTACTTGGGAGGCCAAGGCAGAAGAATAGCTTGAGCCTGGGAGGCAGAGGTTGCAGTGAGCCAAGGTCACACCATTTGCACTCCAGCATGGGTGACAGAGCGAGACCCTGTATCAAAACAGAAATAAGCCGGGTGAGGTGGCTCACGCCTGTAATCCCAGCACTGTGGGAGGCCAAGGTGGGCGCGGATCATCTGAGGTCAGGAGATCGAGACCACCCTGGCTAACACGGTGAAACCCCATCTCTACTAAAAATACAAAACAACAACAACAACAACAAAAAACTTAGCCAGGTGTGGTGGCACGCGCCTGTAGTCCCAGCTACTCAGGAGGCTGAGGCAGAATCGCTTGAACCTGGGAGGCGGAGGTCCAGTGAGCCGAGATTGTGCCCCACTGAACTCCAGCCTGGGTGACAGAGAGAGACTCTGTCTCAGAAAAAAAAAAAAAAAAAAAAAAAAGAAAGAAACAAAATAAAACAAAACAAGTCATTATAGAGTGGCTATGGCTTCTCTTCAGTGGCCTTCAGGTGTCTGCAGTTGGAGAGTTAGACTTTCCCAGGCTTGTGGTTTTACCAAGGCAGGAACATGGTATGAGAAAGAGGCAGGGGAATTGAGGGTTATAATTATATAGTTTAAGTTACATGGAGAGGGAAGTGCAGCCATGAGAGAGAAGAAATGAAAGATGGTGAAAAGAATGTGGACTCAATGGTAGAAAGATGGGCTGGAGACTGAGAACTAGAGGGAGCAAGCTGGAAAGATAGGAGTTGGTGGTAAGAGAGAGGGTGTGGAAATTGAGATTATGGAGTTGGTGCCATTATTATAATGACAAGGTACAGGACATGACCGTGGGAGGGAGTGGCTGATGTAGGATAGAGGCCAAGATTATTGAAGAGGAGAAAGTCAAGGAATTTATATGCTTGGGTATGGGAGGGTCATATATGTGAACCCTACATGTACTCACTGGGTAAGGTTGTCAGAACCCAAAGATAATTTGGGTTAGAAATCTAGCTCCTCTTCTACTTCCTAGCTCTATACCTTAGTTTTCTTATGTGAAAAATGAAGATATTAATAGTTTCTACATTGCAGGGCTATTGTGAGGACTAAATGAATTAATACACATAAAACACTTAGAATAGAGAGTGACATATAGTAAGTGCACAATAAGCTTTTATTTTTATTTGCATATTTATGCCTTAACAAATCTGATAATTTTAGCTCAGAACTTTCTTCATGCAAACTCATATCTGCTCTTTTATAACAAAAATCCTTGAAATAGTTGTCTATACTTGTCTTCACTTTTTCACCTCCCTTTTTCTCCTCTACCCTTCACAATAAAAATTTCCCCCTACATCTCTACTAAGAATGTTTTGTTGCTGTTGTTGTTTTGAGACAAGACCTTGCTTGGTTGCTCAGGCTGGAGTGGAGTAGCAAGATCACTGCTCACTGTAGCCGTTACCTCTCTGGCTCAGGCGATCCTCCCACCTCAGCCTCCCAAGTCGCTGGGACCACAGGCACACTCCATCACACCTGGCTAATTTTTAATTTTTCTGTAGAGATGGGGTTTCTCCATGTTGCTTGGGCTGGTCTCGAACTCCTGGACTTAAGTGATCCTCTTGCCTTGGCCTCCCAGAGTTCTAGGATTACAGGAGTGAGCTGCTGTGCCTGGCCTAAAAACGCTTTTGAAGGCACCAATGACCCTGATCTTCCCAGTCTACTAGTTAATTCTTAGTTTTCATCTTTGCTGCATTTGACGTGGCTTTATCATGTCTTGCTTCTGAAATTATAAAAATTTGGTTTCTGGGTCACCTCCTTCTCCTGGGTTTTCATTGTGCCTTGCTGTTATCTCTTCTCAATCTCTTCTGCAAAATCCTCTTCCTCTCCCTGACTTCTAAAGATTGGCACAGCTTGGGACTAAATTCTTTTCTACCTATACTAACACGCAACATGATCTTTCCAGTCCCGTGGTTTCATATAGCAGCTGTATGCTAATGCATCCCAAATTCATATCTCTAACTGTGATGTTTTCTCCAAATCCCAACTCATATATCTAACTGCTTATTGAACAACCCTACTTGAATGTATAGTAGGTATCTCAAACTTAACTGTCCAAAACTGATTACATTCTAGTCAGGGAAGTAGATAATAAACACATTTAAAAATGAATCTCTAGGCTGGGTGCAGTGGCTCACGCCTGTAATCCTAGCACTTTGGGAGGCTGAGGCAGGCGGATCACCGGAGGTCAGGAGTTCAAGACCAGCCTGGCCAACACGGTGAAACCCCGTCTCTACTAAAATGCAAAAATTAGCTGGGCATGATGGCGGGTGCCTGTAATCCCAGCTACTCGGGAGAGTGAGACGGTAGAATCACTTGAACCCAGGAGACGGCGGTTGCAGTGAGCAGAGATCGTGCCACTGCACTCCAGCCTGGGTTGCTGAGTGAGACTCCATCTAAGAAAAAGAAAAAAAAAAATCTTTATTTCAGCTAGTGCAAACTGCTACAAGGAGAAACAAAGCCAGAGAAGGGAAATGAGAGCTTAAGTATTCGAAGGAATTAGGCAAAGCCTCACTCTGGCTCTGCAAGGTCAGAAGGAAGGGCAGTCAGTGTGCAGAGAACAGCAAGTGCAAAGATTGATCTCCATTCCACCCAAAACTCTTTCCCCAATTTAGCTAATGGTATCACTATTCACTTATTTGCCCAGGCATCAGAGTCACTCTTCATTCATCTGTTTTCCTCACCCTTCACAGTCAATTCATTTAGCAATTCCTGTTGGCTCTAACTTCAGATTATATCTGGAATCTGATCATTTTTCGCTACCTTCATTGCTTTCATCAGAGTCCTACCAATCATTGTCCTTGTCCCGACTACTACTCCACAGCCTTCTACCTTGTCTTTCTGCTTTTATTCTTGCCTACAGACTTCATCTAGCAGCCAGGATGTCTTTCAATAATATAAATCAGATCATGTTATTTCATTGCTCAAAACTGCAGGGGGCCGGATGTGGTGGCTCACACCTGTAATCCCAGCACTTTGGGAGGCCAAGGCAGGAGGATTCCTTGAGTGCAGGAGTTCAAGATCAGCCTGGGCAACACAGAAAGACCCCACCTCTTAAAAAAAAACATTAAAATTCTCCAGTGGCTTATTTCTATCATACTTATAATAAAATCCAAATACTTCACTCTGATTTACAAGGTACTAAATAGTCTGGCTCCCTCTGAACTCAGCTGCTACCTTTGATTTTTCTAGTTGTCACTATCTACCCTAAGTTTCTCCAAAGCTTTTTCTTTCCACTAGTCAAGGTCTTTGTTGCCTCAGTCTTTGCACTTGCTATTCTCCCCAGGTTGACTGCTCTTCCTTCTGATATTGCATGGTCTGAGTGAGGCTGTCCCTAATTCCTTTCAATACTTAAACTCTTTTCCCTCCTCCGGCTTTATTTCTCTTTATAGCAGCTTGCACTAGCTGAAATAGAGTTTTCTTTGTTTGTTTATTATGTGCTTCCCTGATTAGAATGTCAGCTTCATGAAAGCAGGAATCTTGTCTCTCATGATCACTGGTAGATTCCTGGTACCCTAAAACAGTGCCTGGCACATAGCAGGCATTCAGTTTGTTTGAGTAACTGAATGAATCCAAGTGCCAAATTAGATGTCTCAAATTTAGCATTCCCAGACTAAAGACACTATCATCTTCTTGCACAAAAATCTTCCAGGATTCACTATCCTAAGTGAATTGGGTCACCAACCAGTCTCTCCCTGTAAAAGCTCAATGAGTAATCCTTGGCCGTTTCTCTATCTCTCCCTTGGCCACTTGAAATCCGGCTCATTGTACATAATAAACACTCTTGAAACTTCCTTGCATCGCTATTTCTCCAAGCCACTCACCATCATCTCCACCTGGGGTTTCGAGCCTCCAACCTAGCTTCCTTCTAATACATTCATTACACTGTCTCCATGTAATCTTTCTAAAATGCAAATATTGGTCAGGCACAGTGGTTCACGCCTATAATCCCAGAACTTTGGGAAGCTGAGGCGGGCAGATTACTTAAGGTCAGGAGTTCCAGACAAGCCTGGCCAACATGGTGAAACCCCATCTCTAATAAAAATACAAAAACTAGCCAGGCGTGGTGGCACACGCCTGTAATCCCAGCTACTTGGGAGGCTGAGGCAGGAGAATCACTTGAACCGGAAGGTGGAGGTTGCAGTGAGCTGAGATTGTGCCACTGCACTCCAGTCTGGGCAGAGTGAGACTCTGTCTCAAAACACAAAAACAAACAAGAAAACAATAAAATGCAAATCTTACCATGCTGCTCCGTAGCTGTAAAAGCTTGAGCCTTCCCATGGCCATGAGAGTGGTTTTTATCTTTCCTGGCAGGCAATAGGCTCTGTGTGGGCTGAACAGTACCTAGCATTCCTTGAATTAGAATGCATTGATTTGGTGAATATTTAGGAGAAATATAAAAATCTACCCTTTATTTTTTGGATACAGGATCTCACTATGTCACCCAGGGTAGAGTGCAGTGGAGCAGTCATAGCTCACTGTAGCCTCGACCTCGTGGGCTCAAGCCATCCTCCTCCCTCAGCCTCCAGACTATGGGCGTGTGCCTAAAAATGTCTATTTGATGTAGCAACATGAGATAAATCTGGAGAAACAGGAGGGAATAGTTGTTCCGATCATTACTTTTACATTATTATAACTGAATACATTGTTATTTTGTAAATGATTACAGCCTGGAATTGAATAGGGGGAAACGGAAGCAGTTGTTACAATCATTATCAATTTGAAAGTGAAGACTTCTTTTCTCTCTCTTTTTTTTTGAGACAGTCTCGCTCTGTCACCTAGACTGGAGTGCAGTGGCGTGGCGATTTCGGCTCACTGCAACCTCCACCTCCCGGGTTCAAGGAGTCTCCTGCCTCAGTCTCCCGAGTAGCTGGGACTACAGGCACACACCACCACACCCGGCTAATTTTAGTATTTTTAGTAGAGACAAGGTTTCGCCATTTTGCCTAGCTTGGTCTCGAACTCTGACCTCGGGCGATCTGCCCGCCTCGGCCTCCCAAAGTGGGATTATAGGTGTAAGCCACCGCGCTCGGCTGAAGATTTCCTTCAAACCTTTCGTTCTACCTTATCATTTTCTTTAAAGTTTTAAAAAATTGTTATTTATTTATTATTTATTTTTTTAAGACGGAGTTTCACTCTTGTTGCCCGGAGTATAATGGCGCGATCTCGGCTCACAGCAACCTCCATCTCCCGAGTTCAAGCGATTCTCCTGCCTCAGCCTCTCGAGTAGCTGGGATTACAGGCGTGCGCCACACGCCTGGCTATTTTTTTTTTTTTTTTTTTTTTTTTTTTTTTTTTGAGACGAGTCTCGCTCTGTCGCCCAGGCTGGAGTGCAGGGGCGCGATCTCGGCTCACTGCAATCTCCGCCTCCCGGGTTCAACCAATTCTCTGCCTCAGCCTCCCGAGTGGCTGGGATTACATACAGGTGCCAACCACCAAGCCCGGCTAATTTTTTTGTATTTTTAGTAGAGACGAGGTTTCATCATCTTGGCCAGGCTGGTCTTGAACTCCTGACCTTATGATCCACCCGCCTCGGCCTCCCAAAGTGCTAGGATTACAGGCGTGAGCCACCGCGCCCAGCCCACGGCTAATTTTTTTATTTTTAGTAGAGACGGGGGTTTCTACATGTTGGTCAGGCTGGTCTCGAACTCCGACCTCAGGGGATCCGCCCACTTCGGCCTCCCAAAGTGCTGTGATTACAGGCGTGAGCCACCGCGCCCGGCCCCCCCCCTTTTTTTTTTTTTTTAAAGGAACAGGACTTGATCTTAATTCTACAATTACTTTCTCCCATACTCCCACTCCCGCCCAGAACAAGATAGCGACAGGCCCTAGCGGGCCACCGTCCACAGGGCGGATCCGCCAGAAGCTCTCCTGCGACGCGAAGATCCACTCCCTGAGCCCCCGGCGCTCCCTCCGCCTCACTTCCTCCTCCAGGCTCCGCCCCGCGCCGGTGCGCCTGCGCACGGACGAACACGTGGCTGCAGCGGGGCCAGAGCAGCAATGGCGGCGGGCGGCGGCGGTAGCTGCGACCCCCTGGCCCCTGCTGGGGTCCCTTGCGCCTTCTCCCCGCACAGCCAGGCCTACTTCGCTTTGGCCTCTACCGACGGTCACTTACGAGTATGGGAGACGGCCAACAACCGGCTGCACCAGGAGTACGTGCCTTCCGCGCACCTCAGTGGTACCTGCACCTGTCTGGCCTGGGCGCCAGCGCGGCTGCAGGCCAAGGTAAAGCGAGCGGGACTGCGCGGGGCGGGCGCCTTCCCGGGCTCGGCTTCGGGCCTCCGGGCCGGGTGGCGCGTGGTCCGGCATCGCGCGTGGCTCTCAGCGGCCCGGGCCAGAAGGCTTGGAGGCGGCGTCGGCGCGTTCAGGGCCCAAGCCGCCAGCCCCGCGTGCGGCCTGCCGCGAGGGCAGTGAGGGAGGGCGCAGCTCGACCCGGCCGGCCTCGTATCCGAGCCCTGCCGGCTGGCCCAATGAGGCCTGGGCCCCACTGTTGACGGGCAGCCATGTTCGCCAAGTCCCCTGGTCCCCCTGGGGCGGCTTCCTTCTGCCGGGCCTTGGCTCATCAGAGTTCTGGTTTTTGACAGAGCCCCATCTTGGGACTATCTAACTTTCCTCTGTCTGTGATCCGGCTCATCAGTTTTGCACTGGGCAGTTGGTATGGACTAGTCTGTACTTGCTTCCGGACCTTCCCCCTCCTGCCCCCCCTTTGGGTGCCGGCTCACCACGTGTTCTCGTCCCCGTCCAGGTTGTGGGACTCTCAACTCTTAACTTTTGCCTTTCCCAGGCACCTCTACATTCTCAGCTTTTTGAACTCACTGCTTTTTGATTTTAACATCTGCTCGCCCCTCCCGCCCCGCTTTCAAGCCGATCACACTGCTCCCCACCCACCCCAATCTGAAGTCTGTATTAGGATGTGGAGGTTAAG